>NC_000007.14:83718900-84021930 GCF_000001405.40 Homo sapiens | reverse complement strand
TAGTAGCAAATTTAAAGAAGCATGTATAAGCATTTCTTTAACTGACAACCTAAACATTTTCAAGTCTATGATAAGCTCGACTCATCCAAAAAACTTGTAAACCATGCCAAAAAACAAGAAAATGTAATTCCTTCTTTCAAAAGAACCTACCAATTTTTAGTTCAGGAGATTCATTTATGTATTAATTCATTCATTGAGTCATTTGGGAACTATGCACTGTTTCAGGATTTATGCTTAGCAAGAAAGAAAAAGAAAAAAATAGGGATATTAGTTTACAAGATGATGGAGGGAAACAAGTGATTAAGATAGAGTTTTATAGATTCTAATTGTGGAATATGCACCAGATGCCAGGGAAAGGTTTGTGTGTTAAAAGGCAATAGACCATACAACGTGGTTTGGAGATGGTAAGGCCGGAGGCAGGGAAAAAACAGAGTGAATGTGACTGCCAGGAGAGAAAAGATAAGGGCCTACATGCGGATAGTTGCAGTGGGAAAGATTAAAAATAATCTTACTGGAAAACATTGTTATATATAGAAGCTGAAGGCGAGAGAGGGAGAAATATAGGGCAAATGCCTGTCGTAAGACAAATATGAAAATGCAGATATTTTAAAAAGAATTAAATGTTATAAAATAAGTAGAAGCAAATATTCTATGTCACATGAACAACAAGCTTATAAAGACAGTAGATAAGGTGTTGTAGAATGATAAACAGTTTAATTAAAGGATTCCTAATGAGAGTCTGTGGTCAGTTCTGGTGGAAAGATATATCAAGGTTAGTTAATGCATATTAGCAACACTGTGAATAATGTAACTGACAAGGTTTCCCATTTCCCTATCGTGCTAAAAAACTTGGGAGCCAAAATCGTGACCCACCTCAAGTATATATATTGATCCATGTGGTAGATACTTTTAGCCTTTGTCCTGACAGAGTAATGTCAGTACATCAGTTTTGTCTTTTTGGTTTGTATGTCTTAAATTGTGTTAATTTCTCAAATCTATGAAACCTGAAATCTGTTCTGGAAAATGTATTGTATAAATGCATTCATATTTATTTTTGTACACTGTATGGGGGGCTTAGAGGAAATAGATAATGCAGGGGGAAGACCAGTTATATTATTCCAAAATATTACTGTAAAATAATAAGGACACAAATTATACTGGCAACATTAAGATTATAAAACAAGAAAACAAAATGAAAACCATATAAATACTTTTGGTATTAAATTTAGAGCAGTGAAAAAGAAGTCCTGCAAGAGATGGAAAGTTTTAAGGTAAAATAACATTTTATTTTGATGAGATTTACCAAAATGAAAAAGGTAGGAGCAGAAGCAGTTTCAAGAGGAAAGTTTGTAAGTAAGAAACTTATAAACTTAAGAAATTACTTAAGATATTTCTTATAAAATTAAGAAATAGATATGATAAATTAAAGTTGTAGTGAGTTATCTAGATAGAAATTTTTATCCAGAATTTTGAAATGCAGCATTGGGTCTAAAAAAAAAAAATAGGAAAGTTGACATAGCTTGATGAAATCGAAGCTATAGAAATATATGTTCTCAAAGAGAAATAAGTAAATATAAGATCATTAACAGCTGGGCATAGTGGCTCACACCTGTAATCCAGCACTTTGGGAAGCCAAGGTAGGTGGATCACCTGAGGTCAGGAGTTCAAGACCAGCCTTGTCAATATGGTGAAACCCTATCTCTACTAAAAATACAACAATCAGCTAGGTGTGGTGGCATCGCCTGTAATCCCAACTACTTGGGAGGCTGAGGCAGGAAAATCACTTGAACCCGGGTGGTGGAGGTTGCAGTGGGCCGAGATCATGCCAGTGCACTCCAGCCTGGGCAACAGAGTGAGACTCCGTCTCAAAAAAAAAAAAAAAAAAAAAAAAAAAAGAAAGAAAAAAATCATTAACAATATTGAAATAGTGAAAGAAACACTAGGTGATTACTTCATTTATAGAAGTAAAAGAAAATAAAGGACACCTAAAGAAAAATTTAAGAATATATACAGAAATTTAGAAAAAGGGAAAGAGAAGTCATGAATGAAATAGTGAAGTTTAGATAGCTTACAATTCAGGTTCAGAGTCAGAAAAGCCACAAGAAGCCAGAAAAAGCAATGGAAATATTAAAAACATGTGAAATTGTATTGTGCCAATGTCTGAAGACAACGCAGGATAAGTATACAAATCTATTTTTTTTATTTGATAGTTCTGGTTGATTATCAATACAATAGTAGTGAAGGATGCAAAACCGCAGGATATATACATGTACCCATTGAAAAAGTCCTCTAGTTTAAAGAATGAATGCAAGGAATCATGAGACTCTAGAGCATACAGTGTCTGTGGAAGTTTATTTTCAGGATAAAGAAATTTTAAAGTACATATTTGTATTTAAAGACACGTCATTAAAAAGGGAAAGAATAAAAATCTAAGGAAGAACTATATCTCCTTCCTTCCTTTCTGCAACTCCCCACTTGTGAGAATCCTTTCTACTTTTCCTCACCTTTCTCCAGGTCTTAGTTTCTCTTCTCTTTTTTTTTTTCTTTTTACTCTGTACACTCCTAATCACTCCACTGGCTCAGTTTCAAATAACTTCAACTCTAGTTCACATTTCCTTCCTAAGCTTTTTTATTCATGTCCTTTGGGTCTTCACAAGGCTCTCTAAAGACGCACTAAACAGAGCTTGTCTTCCTTCCATCGCTCAAATGTTCCCTTGCTCACATGCTCTCTTAGTATCTCCTCTACAAGCAATTATTCAAATCAGAAGTTTCTTTTTTATGATTTTTCTCACTATTTCTTACATTCGACATATTATCAATGAGCATAATTCATCAGTTCTATTTTCAATTGATCTCTGCATGTCTCCTTTCTCTATCTTCACTACCCCATCCATATCCAGGTCACTGTCCTTTCTCATTTGAGTTTCTATGACAGCCACCAAACTGGTCTTCCTGCCTTCATTTTGGCCTCACTGCAATTGTTTTTTATTGTTGTTTTTTGTTTTGTTTTTGTTTGTTTTGTTTTTCTCTGCAGCAGCAGGAGTGATCTTCTGAAAATATACTCCTGACAATGTCATTACTAGGTCTAGAACACTTCAGTGGCTTTGTCCAGAGCCAGTAGGCCAGATATATTTCTGAACATGACTTCCTGCATATTCTGGTCTCTGCTTAACTTACTGTCATCATTTCTGACCACCTCCCTTCTTCTTGACTACTCTCTGTGTGTACAACTTTCTCCGTTGTTCCTGTGATTTTGCAAATGCATTCCTTCACCTGAGATGTTTCTGGTTATTCTTCAGATCTTGAAGTATATGTCATATCTTCTGACTAAGACTTATGCAAATTCTTTCTGGTGTAGTCCTTCAATGCCCTATCTCCCATGGCATTTTTTTCTAAGCTCTTATTTTTGTTCTTTCTGTGAAGTTTAACAGTTGTTCAGTTTAATTATCAGAATTCCCTTGAAGATAATAACTACAATGTAGACAAAAAAATTTTACCTTAATATGCCCTAATCTTCCACAATCCAGAGTATACAGTAGGTGCTTAACACTTATTTTATAAATGAAAATATAAATAGTAAGTGATTACATAAAGAATAAATTTATTTGAGCAATAGTTTGTAGAATATTGGATTGAGACCACATAGTGAGAGACCTTAGACTTAAAAATGAGAAAAGATCATTCTTCCCTGAAAGGAAGAGAAATTCGGAGGTGAAGGAAGGAAAAGGAGGGAGTTATTGCTAAATGGCTTTGGTCCTATCAGTACAGCAGGTAACAACACCATCTTTACAGAATACATTAAAGATGTATATTTGTCGATTTGACGAAGAGCAGGGTGCTTTAAAACAGTTGTTGATAATAAATCTATAGTGATCTTATAAGAAAATAAAACAATTTCTTAGCAACACTAGGGTTCTTGTTTAGGAAAAATAGCTTCAATTTATAGCAGATATATTTACTATGAGTACATGGGGTTTTAAACCCTTGCTTAAATGTAAGGACAAAGGGAAAAAAATCTGGGGATTTATAAAGCTGGTACAGTGGAGATTCCAGCAGCCAAGAAATCCTAGATAATAGGGAAGACAGTTGGAATGACTGATTTGAAGGTTCGGATTGAATAAAGAGGTGATTCATCAGTGAGGGGATGAATACACTTAGAGAATAAGAAAGAGGGCTAAGAGGACAAAACATAAAAAGGAAGGGGAAGGCAACGTTTGTGGGACTGAAGAAGTAGAAAATGTGTGGTGAGCAGAGGTTTTGGCCAAAAAGCAGATTTTCTAAATGTGAAACATTAGAAGAATGGCTCCTTTTAAATTGTTGGAAGAGATCAGCTAAAATCAAGGCCTGTTTTATTTGGAAATGGGAATGATTGTTTTTCAAGTCTGAGATATAACCTAAATTTCTTGAACACAAGTTGTGTTAAATTGACAATGTTTTTCTTGGATATTCTCATTTTCTGTGTTAATGAATTTGGTTTTCATTTTCTGTGCATACTTCTATTTTTTGGCTGTACCTGAAACTAGATGAGATTGTTAATTCACATGCAAAAATCCCCACATCTGTAGTTATCATATATTGAAGAAGACACTAAGATTGAAGGTCCTTTCAGCAATGAATATACTTGATAATTTGATTGAGTTATTTCCCACTAGAGTCCACATTTGTAAGATAATAATTATCCTCACATATTTTAGAGAGGTCAGTGCAGTGCTCAATGACACCTTCACTCATGCCCAAACACCAAGAGAACATAAGAATCTATACATGTAAAATATTGTTTTCTTTGTTGTCATTTTCATGCTTTTAACATTGCTTTTGTTAGACTGTGGCTTTCTGAGAACAAGGATTATATATTATGGATACTCTTTTCTACATGGCGTCTTGCACATATTTGTGATCTAATAAAAGGCAACTGAATGTAATTGCTTAGAGTTCTTTAAGTTATTCAAGTGTTTGTATGAACAACTACACTAATTTGGGAGGTAATAGTAGACCAACTTCTCCCTCCATTGTTCCAGTATTAAAGCAGAAGAATGTATGATTGTTTTCATTTTTATTCTGCAGTTGGATTATAATATCCTCAAACTTACCATGTGATGGAGGCTTCCTTTTAGTATCATCATAACGATGTTAATATAGTATATTTGTTAACATTTTACAAATTTGTTTCACATGTCTTAGGCTTAAAATATTTGTTTTTATATGAACTATTTATGACAGACAAGGTGAATAGATCTCAGTTTGAAGTAACTCGATTTGAAATAAACATAATTTGAAAAGTATGCATCTGAGCTCAGAGACGGAAGAGTCTTGTTAAAGGACACAGAAGCTACAAGTGACTAAATTAAATCACTGCACACACAGGTTTCTTTTTTTTTCTTTTTTTTTTTTTTGAGACAGAGTCTCGCTCTGTCGCCCAGGCTGGAGTGCAGTGGCGCGATCTCGGCTCACTGCAAGCTCCGCCTCCCGGGTTAATGCCATTCTCCTGCCTCAGCCTCCCAAGTAGCTGGGACTACAGGAGCCCGCCACCACGCTCGGCTAATTTTTGTATTTTTAGTAGAGACAGGCTTTCACCGTGTTAGCCAGGATGGTCTCGATCTCCTGACCTTGTGATCCACCCGCCTCAGCCTCCCAAAGTGCAGGGATTACAGGCGTGAGCCACCGTGCCCGGCCAGGTTTCTGTTACATATGTGCTCACACACAAACATACACACACACATTTCTGGAGCCTAACTTTACCAATGTGATAGTAATTCTTTAGTTTGTGACAGTAATTCCTAACATGTCACATTAATTATTCTGCTCACCACCCATCATAAGAATACATACTCCTCACTATATATGCATATTTACATATATAATATATATATATGAATGTGAACAAGTAGAAATTTTTGAACAAAAGAAAGCTTTGCAACAGTTATCCAGGTTAGAGTATTGTATTATTGTATGGATCTTTTAAAAAAGCTGGTGCTAAGCAATTCTACTTTAAAACTATTATTCTCCTACTCTTGTTCACTGGCACACTGAGCTTTAAATATGAACAGGTAATATTTCATGTTTCATGTTATTTCCAGAATCTGTATAATTTCCCTGAAAAGGATAGTAAAGTGTGGCCTTGTGAAATATACTTGAATGCATGGTCCCAGAGCAAATGTTAAAAGGTTACACGCATAGGACAAATGATAATGATTATTCACAGGTGTAAAGATCAGGACTAAATAACTTGGATTATATGTGGATAAAGCTAGTTTCAAGTTCTGATCTCTTCCTGGTCTCTTAAGAATGGTGCTGACCTGTACGTGTATATTTCATTGTTACCTGGATAAAATAATACACTAAGGGATAAAGGTAGATTATTGTAAGAATATAAATGTCTGCAGTATCCTAAGTGCCTTCAGTGAGGTACACTTAGCTTCGTTGCACATAGCATCTTAAAGCTATGAAGCTATTACATATTTTATATAGTTTGTGAGGCACAGGCATATCAACCCAGGAACGTTCAAAAATACTGTTTGAAGTGGAGCTCTAAATATTGCTGATATACATTCTGTGTAACCTAGACAGTCCCCTCCCCTCACCATTTTTCTTTTCTTTTCTCATTGCACAGATATTCATGACTGCCTATCACGTTTTAAGCTCTAGGTTCACCGCATCAACAAAAAATACAACAAATACTTATTCTCATGGAACGTATATTTCACTGGGGTGGCAGGGGAGACAGACAATAAGCAAAGGAAGATTAGATAGATAAATGGAGAGATTAATCAATAAATTGTTTAGGATATGTATCATACCAGACAATAAATCCAATTGAGAGTTTGGAGAAGGAGTGAGAGAGCGGAGGTTCATTCTGGCTGTCGTGTGGAGACAAGGGTTGGTAAGGTAGAAACTAAGAAACTAGTTAGGAATCTATTTTAATAATTCAGATTGGCAATAGTTTCCTGAAGGAAGGTGGTATTGAAGAATGTGGTAAGAAATCATGATAAATAAGGATATGCTGATAGATAGAATGTTGGGTGTGAGAGAAAGGGAGAATTCAAGGGTGGCCAGGGTTTTTTCCTGTGTATCTAGTGGAATGACACTGCCATTTACAGGAAAGGGGAATGACAGGAGAGGATTTATTTTGTTTTATACGGATTTCACTTTTCCCTGCCCACCTAGTCTTTGCTGAAAACTGAAATAGACCAATTAATATTTTGATTTAAATTCTTATGCTTAAAAGAAAGAATAACAATGGTGACAGCAATAAGTAATATTTGATAGTACTTATAGTTTGCAAAATATTTTAATATCCAGTAACGCATCTGCAATGTATGATCACCCTAAAGATTTCTTTCTGCACCTACTCCTAACCTTCAGAACAAAATGAATACATTTTTCTAGAGATATAAGGTATTTTGTAAGATACTTTATAATGCATAAAGAACAATTAATATGTACCTACAAAATGAACAAACGAAAGATACGTTTCTTGAAATATATCAATTAAGAGTTAAAAAAAGTAAAAATGGACTGTTCAGAATGGTATTATTTATTAAGCTGTGAATTAATATATACGCTATTATTTGTCTCTCAGATCCAAAGTTCATTAGTGCCCACCTCATCTCAGAGAGTGACAATCCTGAAGATGACAAAGTATACTTTTTCTTCCGTGAAAATGCAATAGATGGAGAACACTCTGGAAAAGCTACTCACGCTAGAATAGGTCAGATATGCAAGGTGAGGTAAAGAAAAAAAAACTGAGAAGGATGTCATTTTCCCATAACAGCTTTGCTTTTTAAAATTTTCTACCTGTGTGCATATACAATAAAAATTATGGCTAAAGCTTGACTCACATAACAAATAAATGGTAAATAATGATTGAATATTATAGTTGGTTATGAGTAACTCTTCGCAGTCAAATATACAGGTACAGGTTGTGAGGTAACTGGCATTATTTCACAATTACATTACGTAATATTTGTTTGAAATTCTACAGTAACAAAATGGTTTTATTTTACCTGGGAGAAGGTAATTTATGTTTTTTCAGTCCTAGCACAGTTTTCTATACCTTGTAAGTTTTTAAGTTTTGGTTTTGTTTTGAGACAGAGTCTTGCTCTGCCCCCTAGGCTGGAGTGTAGTGATGCAATCTCAGCTCACTGCAAACTCCGCCTCCCTGGTTCAAGTGATTCTCCCGCTTCAGCCTCCCAAGTAGCTGGGATTACAGGCACCTGCCATCATGGCTAGCTAAGTTTTGTATTTTTAGTAGAGACGGGGTTTCATCATGTTGGCCAGGCTGGTCTTGAACTCCTGATCTCTGGTGATTTGGCCCCCGAAAGGGCTGGGATTACAGGCGTGAACCACTGCACCCGGCCTACCTTGCAAGTTTTGAATAAATATTTGTTGTTGGAAGATGTGAAGTATTCATTTAAGAGAGAAAAACATGAAAGCTCGTTTTTACAAACTGATTGTAGCATCCTATGCACACATATACACACACACACAAACACCCACACAAAAACAATTTTGAAGCTGTGAGCTTTAACTATCTGAGGTATTTCACTTATTGTGTGGCATAATGTCAAATGTAATATTGCATTATACTGTTAGATACATAGAATAAAAATTGTTCAATAAACACTTATAGATTATTAATTAGTATCATCAGTGTGAAAATATAATAGTTCCATTTGTTTCCCTCTACGGTGCCTAGTGCAGTATTCCTGCAATATGAAAAAGTTAACTCTTAGTACATATTAAAGCACCCTTCAAATAAAGAAAATCATAAGCCCACATTCAATGATTGTCTTAAAATTGAATTCTATCTTTTGAAGAAAGCATCCTGAAATTTAAAAAATCTGTTTCTTTCTATGTGTGACCCGTTACCCCAATATGATCTAATTATTACCTCTACTATATTCAATTACTGAAAAATTAAAAGTTTTCAATACTTGAAAACATATAAATAACATGTGAAGTAGATGAGACTTTTTTCTCCACAAAATACATGTCATATTTAAAAGCACTACTTTCAAGGCTTAAAAAAAATCTCTAAGGTGTTTAAAAGTATATAAATAAAATATAAATCAGTTTTACTTTAAAGGAACATGTGCTCTCAATATATGTACATAAATATCATTTGTGAAAACTATAGTTTCTAGTAAACACATACCTCAATAGTAGAATTTATTACTTTGCTTAGGTTAAATCAGTTTTCTTCAAGGTGAGATTTTCAAAATGTGTTCTCTGGAATGAGTTTCCTTTATTAACGGTTATTCAAATATTTTCTCAACGTGTTGTTTGTAAAATATAAATTGCTTCAACTCCTTCAGCTTATAAAATATTTGATGCTAGCGTGCTTTTGTTTGAGATCTATTTTTTGTATGTGTATTTAAGGCATATATTTATCATCCATTCATTAAATACTCACTGAATGCCTACTGTGTACAAGCACTGGCTGTGAACAAGCCTATGTAGGTTAGATCTCTATGAATAGTAGGTAGGAGAGAGAGCATTATACTAAAACAAAACGAATCCATTCATTGCAGAGTAGAAAGGAAGTTTAAGTGATTTTTAAAGATTCTATCAATCATTTATTTTAATAGACAGTAAGAATTGTATATATTTACTGTGTGCAACATGATGTTTTAAAATGTGAAATGGCTAGATCCTGCTAATTAATATGCATTATCTCACATACTTATAATTCTTCGTGGCGAGAAGACTTAAAATCTACTCTTTTCACAATTTTCAGTAATATAATTCATTTTTATTAATTAAAGTCATGGTGTTGTACAATAGATCTCTTAAACTCATTTCTCCTAAGTGAAATTTTATATCTTGGACCAAATCTCTTCATCCCTCCCCCAAAGGCCCTGGTAACCACCATTCTACTCTCTGCATCTGTGAGTTCAGCTTCTTATATTCCACATATAAGTGAGGTCACGAGGTATTTGTCTTTCCGTGCTTGTCTTATTTCTGTTAACATAATGTCCCCCGGTTTATTCATGTTGTCTCAAATGACAAGATTTCCTTCTTCTTGATTTTTGCTTTTAAACTGTAAATTGACAATTATGATTATATAAATTTATGAGTACAAAACAATGTTGATTTTTGAATATAATGTGTAATAATTAAATCAACTAATTAACACACCCATCACCTCAAATACTTATTTTTTGTGGTGACAGCATTTGAAATTTACTATGATTTTGAAATGTATAATACATTATTATTTATGATACCACATTGTGCAACATATCTCAAAGAAAAAACTGTTTTTTCCTCTTATCTAATTGATTTCCTTTTTCTTAAGGCTGAATTGTAGACCATTGTGTAAATGGACCACAATTTCTTTATCCATTGATCTGTAGATGAACATGAATTGACTTTATAAGTAATCCCTTGAATAAATAAAGGGACTACTCACAATAAATATCCCTTAAAAAGTCAAAAAAGCTTGAGGGAACGATTCGACCACAAATGTAACAATAAGTGATAGTTACCTATATCTGGTCATTTAAAATGATTAGGAACTTTTAAAACATGAGAAACTGTATTTTATGTTTGTCTGAAGATATGAAGAAAATAGAAATGTTTCAAATTATCATTTTCATTAACAGTGCCTAACACTGGTGTTCCCTTCTTTCAGAATGACTTTGGAGGGCACAGAAGTCTGGTGAATAAATGGACAACATTCCTCAAAGCTCGTCTGATTTGCTCAGTGCCAGGTCCAAATGGCATTGACACTCATTTTGATGAACTGCGTAAGAAGCTAGTGTTTATGTATAGAGAATATTTGTTCAGACTTTGCCATTCCATAAAAAAGCAACTTTCTCCAATTTTGTTTTTAAACAGAGGATGTATTCCTAATGAACTTTAAAGATCCTAAAAATCCAGTTGTATATGGAGTGTTTACGACTTCCAGGTAAGTAACTTTTTAACTACCTTATAGAAACTTAATGTTATTTAGGTGCTATCCAAGTACTCATAATTTGCAAAAGTATATTTTTGAAAGGCAAGTGTTGCTTTAACCTTTGAGCTGTTGTGTACTCTTGGGTGACTGAAAGAAGTTATGATCTACGTAGATGTTTGTTTTCTAAATCAATTTTAGAAAAAATCATCATTGTAATGATGTGAATATGTAATAAACAGTTTGAAATGTTCATGTCATCTTATGCATATCTTTGACTTTAAACCTTTTACATTATTATAATAATGTAAAATATTATACAGATGGAAGTCTGAGTTTTGGGAAGAGTTTGTAGGGATATAAATTAAGGATGGAAAAATTAATTTAAAATTTGTTGAAAATATAATGGAAAAAGTTCTCTGTCTCTTGATCTCTGTCACTTTAGTCAATTGCTAATGAATGAGATCAGAGAAAAGCCCATCAGCAATTCCACTGAAAGTCCTATCTTTGCCCAGATGATTAGCATGGGAATCTGGGGACAAAATACATCTGGAAATGTCAAAACAGTCCATGGTTCTTCCCAGTATCTCTATTCCACAGATGGGATATTTGCTACACTTTTCTGCATTCTTTAAACCTTTAAACCTAGAACTAAACTAGAAATGTGTATGTTTGGAGAAAGTTGATTGTTTACAAAAGAAATGTTTTAATTGCTTTTAGGTAATTTAAAAAATTATTAATACAATCATCGCTTCTCAACCTTTTAGCTAAGATTGTGTGAAAAGTTATTAATATAACAATTGAAGACACTTTACATAGTGTAAATAGTTTTAAAGCTTTTTAAGTCAGTAAATAGATTCTCTTTGTAAAAAAATCTACTTTTTTTTCCCTGAGGCTCCATTTAGTTTTTTATTATCTACCTTGTAACCCAGATTTTAAAATAATCATGTAAAAAGACATAAACAAAATAAACAAAAACCTTCAGCATTACAGCACTAGGGTTACATTATAATCACATAAAAAGACATAATAAAAACAAAAGTCTTCACCATTACAGCACATAATAAAAACAAACAAAAACTTTCAGCATTACAACATTATGACTGGGTTTTTTTTTTTTTTTTTTTTTTTGTAACCAGTGTCAAACTCAAACTTAATTTCCTTGTCTTTTTATCCCTGCCCTGCTTTTCCTGCTCTTTCTCCACGGGCTCCTTCCCTTCTTCCTTCCCCTTCTACTTCCTCTCTTTCTCTCTCTTCCTCTTGCCTCCTTCCCTCTTTCCTCATCCTTCTCCTTTTCCTATTTCTCATCCTCCCTAAGTCTCTCGCTGTCAATTAAGCAGAGATTATTTCCCTCTAGACTATTACATTCAGTATAAAGTTCACATTACCTGGGGTTGTTGAAAGAAACACATGTACATTTACATGCATATAAAGAAGGATATGCATTGGGATATGGATGAAATGTTAAAAGAAAAATAATTAAAAATCGAAAGTCAGGAAAAGTACTGCAAGTAACTTTGATAGCAAAGAAAATGATTAACTGCAATGTCCAACACTGTTTTATTCTGTAACTATTAAAGCCATTACAAATTGCTTGGATGTTTTTACTCAATAATTTTTTAAAATCACATAAAAATTAAGGAATCCATATTCCTAAAACTATTTGCAGTTCTGCATACCTAAATAATATTTCTTCCCTTTGGAAAAAAAGAAAACCAGAATGACTAAGCTATAGAACTTGAGAGACTCAGACAAATATGAATCCATTTCTTCTGTTTACTCATTGCTTAGTGCAGTGACTCAAATTTGAGTGTGCATCAGAATCTCCTAGACAGCATGATAAAATTCAGATTCCTAGGCCTTGCCTCCAGAGTTTCTGGCTCAATAGAAATTAAATGGGACCTAAGAATATGCAGTTCAAACAAGTACCCAGGTGATGCCCATGTTGTTTGTCTAGGGACCACCTTTTGAGAGCTAGAGATAAAATAATTTCACCTCTTTATGTCAATAGAATGGATATTTGTATGTGAGTCCTAATAGCTACCTATCATACTCCTTAAGTATTTCGATGATAGCTGACTTAATCAAAGATAAGCAAAGAATAATGGAAAGGGGATAGATAACCCAAACATTACAAAGTGTGATGTATCAAGTATGCACTAATTTGCTATTTGTTCTGCTATGAAAATGTTATTAAATTCTGTAAGTATTTATTAAGGTTTACTCTCTGAAATGCCATGTGATATATGTAATTGATGTAGCCGAAAAGAAGCCAGGCATGGTCTCTTCCCTCATGAAACTTGCAGTCTATGAATCGCTGTCTATATGCAGTAGTTTCCAATAACAAACTATTGCAAGCACATGTTGTTCATTTGGTCTGATTTATATGTAATTTTCAAGGGGGAAGTTTGTTTAAAAGATAAGCATTCCATATTTTAAATGTGCAGAACTGTTTAATATCTTTGTATAAATACATTACTCAAGCCACATTTCTATAAGCCTAATAAAATGGAATTTCTTTTTCTTTCTTTTTTTTTTTTTTTTTTGAGACGGAGTCTTGTTCTGTAGCCCAGGCTGGAGTGCAGTGGCACGATCTAGGCTCACTGCAAGCTCTACCTCGCCGGCTCACACCATTCTCCTTCCTCAGCCTCCCGAGTAGCTGGGACTACAGCCACCCGCCACCACACCTGGCTAATTTTTTGTATTTTTAGTAGAGACGGGGTTTCACCGTGTTAGCCAGGATGGTCTCGATCTCTTGACCTTGTGATCCGCCCGCCTTGGCCTCCCAAAGTGCCGGTATTACAGGCTTGAGCCACCGCGCCCTGCCATAAAATGGAAAATTGTGGCAATTCAGTGGCTTACTTCCAGTCTATCTGATTTTTTGTTTAGCGAACAAAATTTTTGTTTAGTGAAATGATGAGTATAATTGCTGTAATTCTCCACTTTAACTGAGTGAAATAGCTACTAACGTAATTATTTTCTGTGTTAGAAAGAGCTGATTTTAAGTGTCTTCACAAGAATCAACTTCTACTTGATCTAATACTTTTGGGAATTTAAAAATAATATAATGTGGCACATCATTTGACACGATCTTTTGTACTAGTTTCAGCCTACAAAGTGAGTTCTTAAACATTCTTGCTAATTTAAAAGTTTCCTGGTTTCAGTAATAATGCTTGAGACTTAACCAACATTTTAAAAAATTTCCCCACGATATTAAAATTACATATTCATTTATAGTTTATATGTATTTGTTTTTCCTATCAAAACTTAGTACTCTATGTTTCATATGAAGGCGTATATTCCATGAGTACTGAAGCCATTTTCACCTATGCCTTCTATTTTTAAGAAATCACAATTTTTTGTTCTTTTGTGTATTGTTAAATGCATACATGTGACTAGAAAAATCCCAAACATTATTGCTAAGAATTTATATTCATATTTTAATAAATCATATCTAAAATGTAAGAACTCAGTATCAATATTTCTCTTACCATTGTATAAAGATGAACTTCTGTTTTTATTCTTGCTGTCTTGTTCAGTAACATTTTCAAGGGATCAGCCGTGTGTATGTATAGCATGAGTGATGTGAGAAGGGTGTTCCTTGGTCCATATGCCCACAGGGATGGACCCAACTATCAATGGGTGCCTTATCAAGGAAGAGTCCCCTATCCACGGCCAGGAACTGTAAGTAGCTTAGGTGTTTAAAATATGAAATGAATATATTTCTGCCAAAGGTCAAAAAACAATGCAGCTACAGACAGATATTAAATGTATCCTGTAATGTAGAAAAAAGATTTCAAGATTATAAATTAAAGCAAGACAAAGATTTTCCATGATTGAATGAAATTTCACATTTAAAAACATGTTCTTTACAGATGTCAGTTCTTAAATTCAGTATAAGATATAAATCTAAAATTATTAAATCTTATTTTAATTTTTGACCACACATTTCTAAATTTTTGCAAACTATTTTTACATGGTAGTAGAGAAGTGCAGAAATAATTTTCAATCTCATGAAAATACATTTTATTGTGTCTTCCAGGTTTTTACATAAATATTTGATATTTCTATAACCTTAATTTTATAATTTACATACAAAACAAGAAATACAACCTTACATTCCTTAACTGTTATATTGTTGTATTATTGTGTATGTATATACACATACATAGACATATATATGTGTGTATTTATATATACTCATCCCATTTCAAAACACATTCATTTTATTTCTCATGAATTATTAATATTTTTCAAGCTAGTGGCAAAGAAAATTGATTTCTCATTCTAAGCTTCTTGTAAGATCAAGAATCTCTCATAATTACATTTTAGCTCCCAAGCTTTTACATTAAATGGTAGAAATTATTTAAGTGTAAGACTAAAAGCAAGAGATTGGAGATATTGTACTCTATAAATGCTTGCACTGCATCAATAAATATAGTGAAAGGAGACGGTGAAATCTTAATTTGTCATTTTTGTTGTATTGTCTTACATGGAGTGTTTACATCCAGAGGTGAGGTTATGCCAGTGCAAAACCATGCATCTTTCTGGCTGCTGGGGCCATTATCTCTTCTGCTTGGTCATGATGGGCATTCTGATTGGTCTTTTTGTGCAGTGCAGGTTGCTAAACACTTTGAATAACACTTTTCCTTAACTCTGGGATTATTTTATTTATTACATATCTCAATGGTACTTTTTTAGCATTATGTTAGAAACAAAACAATAAAGAATAGTTTATATTGTTTTTCAGTTTGAAAAGAGAATTTGTATTTTAGCATGATGCCATAGTAAAAAATTAAATGTATTCAATAAAATTATTCTGAGCATCTCTAATCCAAAGAAAGATTAATTGCATTTAGTTGTAGTATATTCCATTCATTATGTCAAATACTTCACTTATTTTACTAATAACACTCATGCTTGTGGTGCTAATAGAGGCACCAAACTTCTCCAGTACACTGAATTCATTACATGCATTTGTAATTTTGCCTAAGAATTAGTGACATAACTAAATCTCACTGAGAATTAAGATATATTTGGGAAATATATACTATATATTGCACTACTTTTTTCCTTTATTTTATTTTTGAGACAGATTCTTGTTCTATTGCTTAGGCTACAGTGCAGTGGCATGATCTCAGTTCACTGCAACCTCCACCTCCCAGGTTCAAGCAATTCTCCTACCTCAGCCTCCCAAGTAGCTGGGACTACAGGCATGCACCATCACGCCCAGCTAATTTTTGTATTTTTAGTAGAGATGGGGTTTCACCATGTTGGGCCAGGCTGGTCTGCAACTCCTGGCCTCAAGTGATCCACCCGCATCGGCCTCTCAAAGTGCTAGGATTAGAGGTGTGAGCTACCATACCTGGCCTGCACTACTATTTTAAGTAGAACCATTGAGGCCATGTGTTATTATATAATTTATAATTATGTTTATTAGATTTTAATCAAAAGATAATTTTCTCTTTATCTTAATAGTGTCCCAGCAAAACATTTGGTGGTTTTGACTCTACAAAGGACCTTCCTGATGATGTTATAACCTTTGCAAGAAGTCATCCAGCCATGTACAATCCAGTGTTTCCTATGAACAATCGCCCAATAGTGATCAAAACGGATGTAAATTATCAATTTACACAAATTGTCGTAGACCGAGTGGATGCAGAAGATGGACAGTATGATGTTATGTTTATCGGAACAGGTAAATTTTTAAATTTCAGCTGTAAACTTTTTTCCGAACACTATGTTTAACTGATTAAGTTGATCTTTGAACATCTCAGGGGTTGGGATGCCAACCCTCTGTGCAGTTGAAAATCCACATATAACTAACTTTTGATTTCCCCAAAACTTAACTACTAATAGCCTACTGTTGACTGGAAGCCTTACCTATAAGATAAACAGTTGATTAGCTTCATATGTTGTATGCCATATGTATTAGATATTGTATTCCTACAATAAAACAAGCTAGAGAAAAGGAAGTGTTCTGAAAATTATAGGGAAGAGAAAATATATTTAATGTTCATTAAGTGGAACTGGATCACCCTTGTCTTCCTGTTGAGTAGGCTACAGAGAAGGAAGAGTAAGAGTTGACATTGCTCTCCCAAGGGTGGTAGGAGCAGATGAAGATTTGTATATAAGTGGACCCACACAGTTCAAACCCATGTTGTTCAAGGGTCAAATGTATACTAAGAACTGAGGCCAGTTTCTATCGTTACTTTCAAGGTATAATTCACCTTTAATAAATGACTAAATAACATGAATATTCTTCCATTACAAATTTATTATCTTTTCTGACAAGTTGAGACATACTAATTTAAAATAAATTCCCTTTTCTGTGACAAGTAGATAAGTTTAATCAGGTAAAGCTAATGATTAGGTAAGCAATCAGTGTTTATAATTGCATCATAACTTTTCTGGCCAGTGGCTTTTTAGAACAAAGATATATTACTCAAATCCTGCCTTAAATTCCCAAGACATTCAATAATAGTTCCAGAATATTAGTACAAAATTATCTGAACTTTAAAATTACAATAAGGTGAACATCATCTAGTAAATAAATGTTAGCAATAAAATTTTTTCAGTGTTTCTGTCATACAATGAAAAGAAAAAAAATTCATTAGAAAAACAACATAATTGATTCAAGTAATTCTTAGATACATTTCTATGGACATTTAACAATTCACTTTTACTAATTCCATAATTAGAAACAGACTTTTTCAGGTATATTTTCAGAATGAATTCCATTGTTATTATGATATATTATTTTATTTTTTCCCAGCTCTTTTTAATAGTAATATTATTTTTGAAAGTCCCGGTTACAAATCTGATACTTGCTACTTAGGGTCAGATTCCAAGGTAATAAATTTCTAGTCTCCATTAACGCTGTTAACTGACATAAATCAATGGGAAACAGAGTGAGTGCTCCACTGAAACCTTGTATAACAACATTTATTTTCCCTTAGTGAGAAACAGAAAAAAAATTGCATTAACTACAGGAGAATGGCAACCATATAGTAACTGCTTTAAAGACTTAAAGTTTTATAACAAAATTGTGAAATACTTATGTTATCAGGTGTAACAGTGTCAGGTTCTGAGTAATATATTAAAGTCTACTTTTATGAGTGAGAAAGTTTCTCTACCAAATAAAAGAATCCAAAGCAGACCCAGGGTTTCATAAAGGCAATGAATTGCAAGTATCAATTTCTGGTTATAAATATCCTTAGAACATATAAGAAATAGTATTTCTCTTGGGTAAATATTAGTTTATCATTTAACATCAAATTATAATTGAATTTCTTTGCAGAGGAATTAAGTTTGTTCAGTCATGTCACACTTGCCTTTTTCTTCACCTCTGGCTTAAATGTATTGAGAAGTCTCTCACTCACTGTCAAAGCAACAAAGCTTGCTTCTGGGTATTTGACCAAATAAACTTAATCATGAGCTTTTAATTCCTCTTGGACACAATCTGTCTTTAAAGGCACCAATTTCATGAGTGTGTTGAATGTCTGATGATGTGGATGGCTATTGGTCAGTACAGACCAAGGTCATCTGTCAGCAAAGTAAACTGATTACAGTAATTTTATCTTTTAACTAAGTTGCACATCATAGTATATTGATCCTAGTTGAGTAATCTGATTCAATTTGTGTGAAATTGTTTGAAATACTACTCAGTAAAACTTGATCTGGAAAAGAGATAAAGTTGTGTTTGGGTACCGGAGACATGATCAGAAGCACTGAGTAGATTAACCTAATTTACCTTTAATCTTTAGTGTTATGAGTAGTCTAAGGTCCTGTAAATACAGAAGGGTCTTCTTAAAAGTGTACTTTTTTTGGTTTAACTTTACAAGGGATAAATTAGCAACCTTTCTTGATCTCATATAACATATCATGTTGGTTCTCCAAAAACAGTTATCGATGAATTATTTTTCTCATATAATTTATTCTTTGTTGACAAGATTTTCTTCACAATAACTTTGTTGAACTTGATTAAAAGGAACCAGTTGAAGCTAACTAGATTTGATCAAGTTTAGTCAGAACTAGAAGGTTGAAGAGTAAAAGTTTTGAATTTAATAAGCCCCTGTTCCTCATTCCATCAAGGAATAGGAACATATCTGTAATACTGGAAAATTAATAACTTTTAAGCCCAACTTAGAGTAAGAGTGACAACTCTTGTCATTAAAACAAGTTGTCTCTTTTAACAATGCAAATTAGAAAAACAAATAAGGTTTGAAATCTCTATAAAATGCATTCAATATTTTTATGCTTTTGGCTTCTGAATGTTAAATTTCCTTAATTCTCTAAAATGGATTAATCAAAGTGTACATTTTTGAAAAACCACAGTAATAAGCAATTCTAGGTGTTTACTTTGAGAAATCGGGTTATTGTCATTCATCACATAATGGCCATTGAGCCATCATTAGGAACTTCTAAGTGCTAAAGACTTTTAGATGACAAGAAGAGCAGCCAGGACTCTGAAGCTCTGACTACTTCCCTTGCTTGACAACATTCCTTGCATTTTTCATTTATATTTAGTCTTCATAGTAGTACCCTGATTTTGTAATAAAAGTGGAAGAACCTGTCGTGACAAACTGACGTTATTTTTAGGTTTTGTTTCTGAGATACCAGGCAATTAAGGAGATATTTTTAGAAATAATGAAAAGAATTGATCCAATCCAGGCAATCTCTGTAATAATTATTATATTTTAAAAAATGTATGCAGTCTCATGATAAAACCTTCTTCAAGGCTAAACATATTTCTAAAAATTCAATCTTTTATTATTCCAAGATTGTGTTTATAGTTTACCTTTACACTTTGTCTAATTGCATGAAATGCATTTGAATATATATTTTACTCATGTTTTGACCAAAAAATGAATTAAAAGGAAGACCGATATCAAAGGTTCTTTGTCTGACAAATACATATTTCATTCATTAACACTAATCTCTGTTCAGATCTACTTAACTTGTGGTCTTCTCCCCACTTTCTTTCAAAGATGTTGGGACCGTTCTTAAAGTAGTTTCAATTCCTAAGGAGACTTGGTATGATTTAGAAGAGGTTCTGCTGGAAGAAATGACAGTTTTTCGGGTGAGTGCTGCTTAATTTCAAGTGTCAACAAGTTCAGTTGTACGTCTTTCCCCCAGGACAGCTGCACACTGAACTTGGTATGGACAAGTAGTCTAGCATACATACCCTTCTAATTAGCTTGTCAATTAGAAAGCCAGACACTAGTCAAAATAAACCTTGAAACTTTCAATGCTAGTTAAATCTAAAGATGTAAAGAAATGTATTTTTGGCTCATATTTTGTTTTCTCAATGATAAAATATATTATTTACATTTTATATTACATTTTATATTATTTAAGTTACCTCAATGAACAAACTCTTCCCCACTCCTAAAATCTATTTTACACATGATAGTATAACTGAAATGATATGTAACTTCCATGAATGTACTAAAGGAAATATATTCGGAATGACAGAATACTGAAGACATTTCAGTCAATTTTTAGCTTACGTATGAATTATTTCATATTTTCTTAAAGAAATCATTTGTTAGCAAAAAAAAATTTGAGAGGTTTGTATCACTGACAGTAAATTTGTTATAGATTCCTAGTCTACATGCTTAAGAAATGTACATATATTTGTCCCTTTATCCTGAATCACAGATGGCCCAGGGGGATTTGTATAGGGTTGGAGGAATGGGGGTACGGGTGAGAGGGGGGTTGGGTGGAAGCAGCAGGACATGGGGTGAAGGGAAAGAGGAGAACTAAAGTAGTCTAACATATACCATGTGTCTGTTGTTCCTTTTGGGAAGTCAGCTAATAGAAATAGTTTAAATTAAAGCACACCTTGAAATGATTAATGACATATGACAGAAAAATACATGCCTGTAAATGTGTTATTTGAATTTTTTGATAAAAGAATAGAGCAAACATCTATTGAGATATTTATAACTGCAAAAAAAAAAAACACGTATTAGAAGAAGTTGGTAGACAGAAAAATGAGAAAATATTGCATCTAGTCTGACAACTTCAAGTGATCTCATTTAGTCTTCAGGTGTCTGTGGTAGTTTACCTATAAAATGAATAGGCTGGATTCAAATTTTCAGTTGATTCAATATTTTAATGGTAAGCAGTTTTCCCAAGATGTCTTACCCCAACAATTTCATACCTATATACAATGTTATTCCTCACTCTTCAGTAGTATTTTAAAGAAAAAATGAGGTATAATATGGAAAGCTCCTAATATATATTCATTCAATTGGCATTATAATTAACATTGAAACATACAACTGGTGAATTGTAGCATAGATGTTTTGTAATAACAAACTACACAGTGTTCTACTGGAAAGGGTTTAGACTCTACAGTCATAGCTACATGACAAATCCATTTGGAACACTTAAACCATCCCTCTGAGCTCCACCATCAGTAAAACAATGAGCATAATACCTATTTCACCAGGATAATGGAAGAATTAGAAACACTATCAGTAATGCATCAAAGACAGTAACGAGTACTTAGCTCAAAATGTCATTGTTAATATAATTTTATTATTTTAGTTTAGCTAAACTGAAAATGAGCTACATTCCCAGTAGCCTTTCCTATTAATCCTTGGTTTAAGTCTTCAAGATAATAAAATAATCATAATTCTATTATGATTTTTAAAATCAGGCACATTAGCCTTATTTGTTTATAATAATTTGTATGCTAAAGTATCAATGTGATCTAATTTATCAGTCTGGTATAGAGTGATGACTAATCCTTATCAATCACCATGTCCCATAGATTACCCCAATGAACAAACACATTGGTACTTTATCTTAGAAGTTAAAAACAACAACAGCTAACAACTGTCCAAATGGACTCTGTTGGCCACTATAGAGTATGTATGTTTAGATTTAGAAAACTATACAGGCACTCAGGGGTGGATAAATTGCCATATTGTCTTTATTGTTATATCGCCAAAACCTAAAATGTCTTTTAAACCAACATGTATTAAATGAGTGAATGAATTAGTATTGATGAAAAAATGAAATAAATACAAGAAATTAAAGAATTTAAGGCCTTCCTCAAGGAGACCATGCATAAAGTGAGGTGCCCCAGTATGAGAAAGATAAACTAGGAACAGTCACAAGTTATCATCCTGATTCTGCACCATATTATTCTCCAGTAGAAAACCTTTACCAACGTATATTTGGAGACTAATTTTGCCACTACTGTTGCAAATGAAGTTACAGGAGACACTAAAATATTGTTATCTTAAGAATTTCTAATTTCCAGAGTCTCTTACTTCTGTATTTGTCATGGTTCCTTTGCATATTTCCTTTCAGTTATAATACATTTTTAAAACAGGGTTCATTAACTAATTTCCACTGTAAATAAATGTATATTAGTAGATATGATAGTCCTGGCACAATGCTAAATTCTGGTGATACAGAGATGAACACTATAAAAATGGTCTGTGACTTCATGCAGCTCAAAGACTCTGATGTGTTATCCATCTCAGTTTCTAGGACTTAATTTTCTACCTATTAATACAATTACATTTTATTTTGTAGAATTGTATCATATCACGACATTGTAAAAATAAGGTTTTTATTATTTAATTATTTTCTGATATGAATTAGAATGTGCATAATTTTGCATTTATATTGTGTTTTCGTGAATTTTTATTATTTATATCTCCAGGGATTTTAAGTTTATATTTCACATCTTAGCTATGTTGTTTAGTACATTAATAAGGATTTTAACTTAAAAAGATGTCAATTTAAACTGACCTACTAAATAACTTTTAACAAAATTATGAGACTTTGGAAACCAACAATCTTGCGAGTATAGTCATGCGCTGCATAACAACATTATGGACAAGAATAAATCCCACATATGACAGTGGTCCCATAAGATTATAATGGGCCTAAAATTTCCTATTGCCTAACATTTTCAATACTTCACTTTCTGTTGTTATTTTACATTGTACTCCTTCTACTTATAAAAAATTACTTATAAAACATCCTCTGGCAGATCCTTCAGGAGGTATTCCAGAAGGTAGCATTGTTATCATAGGAGATAATGTGTTATCTCCTATAATATAGAGATATCAAATATATGTGCTGTTGACCCTGAAGTCCTTCCAGTAGGACAAGATGTGGAGGTGAAAGACACAGATATTGATGATCCTTACCCTGTGTAGGCCTAGGCTAGTGTATGTTTTTGTGTCTTCATTTTTAACAAAAGGAGTTTAAAAAGTGAAATAATAATAACAAATTTTAAAAATAATAATAATTTATCAAACAAGAATGTAAGGAAAGAAAACATGTTGGGACAGGTGTACAATATGTGTTTTAAGCTAAATGTTTTTACAAAAGCATCAAAAAGTTTTAAAAATTCAATAGTTTATATTGTAAAGTACTTGCAGAAAGCTAACATTAATGTATTACTGAAGAAAGAAAAATACTTTAAAAAAAATTAGTGTAGCCTAAGTGTATGGCGACTATAAAGTCTGCAGTAGTGTATAGCAATGTCCTAGGCCTTCACATTCACTCACCACTCACTGACTGACTTGACCAAAGCAACTGCCAGTCCTGCAAGCTCCATTCATGATAAATGCCCTACACAGGTGTACCATTTAAAAATCTTTTCTACCATACTTTTATTGTACCTTTTCTATGTTTAGATACGTTTAGATACACAAATACTTACTATTGTGTTATCATTGCCTAAAATATTCAGTACAGTAGCATGCTATACAGGTTCGTATCCTAGGAGCAACAGACTATCATCTAGCCTAGGTAGTAGGTAAGTGTACTTTATGATTTTTCGCACAATGACAAAATCACATAATGATGCATTTCTCAGAATGTATCTCTGTCATCAACCCATACATGACAGTACAAGTACTTAATATCTATTAGATTTTTTTTTTTAGCATTTTGCAGTTTCCAGAGAAATACATAACCGACTTATACCTGTGATAGCTATTAGATGACATTTGTGTAGCATTTAAGATATTGTGCAGTGGCTCACACCTGTAATTCCAGCACTTTGGGAGGCCGAGGCATGCGAATCACGAGGTCAAGAGTTCGAGACCAGCCTGGCCAAGATGGTGAAACCCCGTCTCTACTAAAAATGCAAAAAATTACCTGGGTGTAGTGGCAGGTGCCTGTAATCCCAGCTCCTCAGGAAACTAAGGCACAATAATCACTTGAACCCAGGAGATGGAGGTTGCAGTGAGCCAAGATTGCGCCACTGCACTCCAGCCCTGATGATGGAGACTCCCTCTCAAAAAAAAAAAAAAGAAAAATTTCATTATCAATCTGTAACAATTAAATGTAAATTAATAATACTATGCTGGCATGGAAATGCTTGTTTAGGACTTTACAATTTTGGAAAAAGATTGTTTGTGAGTGAACAATATTCCTTTGATAGAAAACTATTTCAGTTCTCCTCCATATTCTCTGCTATGCATTATTGTCATTATTATTTCTTTGGCACTCAAGTAGACAAAACATATTTGGGCAGAGTTTAGAGAAATATTTACTTTCAACATTCTATTCTATCAGGCAAAGTTCATACATATATTGTGGTCTAGCAATTGGAATATTTCACTGTCAAACTTTGTTTAATTTTACAGTGGGAAGGAAAAAAACCCACAACACATTAAAGCCATAGCTATATACAGTGAAATAAGCAGAGAAATTTTACAGTTTCTTTGTTTCTATTCGAGCCATGTAAGTCAATCCATTTAAAATAAAATACTATAAAAAAGGTCAGGGATAGTTTGACAAGGTAAATAGAAAAGGTAAAGATTTAGGGTCATGGTAGTATCTGATATTCTTGGATTTTATTAAAGACATTTAATGTTACCCAACCAGTTAGTTTTACCATATTATCATCTTCATGAGGCCATGTTCATTATGTGTCCTTGACAGAATGAATAACCAAACCTCATATAAATACATGAATTAAAACCAGTGCTACACCCATTTCTATCTTGAGGTTGGTTTCATAAGAACACCCTGACTAATCATACACATTCCAGTGGTTTCAGTTACATCCAATATACTTTTATTTGGGATGAAATCAAATCTCGATCAGAGTATAGAAAGAAAAATATTGCTTAGTAATAAAAATTTTCATTTTAGAGTAAAATTTTTAATAGGTAATAAGAGGTGAAATAAAACTGGCATTGGTACAGGACTCTAGAAATGTCTTTGATTTGCTATAAAATACCCCAAATTTGACATTAAAGTACTAAGAAACAAGCCTAATTCCAAAAATGATTTGCAATCATAAACCTGAACTTCAATTGTATTTATTATGTGATTCTCAACACGTTAGTTAAAGTCAATTGAGCCTCAATTTCCTCTTCTCACAGTAAAGACTGTGATTATAAATACTTTTAAAAAGTGTTTTGTTTTAAAATTAAGATTACTAGTAAAGGCTGGGCGTGGTGGCTCACACCTCTAATCCCAGCACTTTGGGAGGCCCAGGTAGGTGGATCACGAAGTCAGGAGTTTGAGACCAGCCTGACCAACATAATGAAACCCCGTCTCTACTAACAATACAAAAATTAGCCTGGCGTGGTGGCACATGCCTGTAATCCCAGCTACTCAGGAGGCTGAGGCAGGAGAATCGCTTGAACCTGGGAAGTGGAGGTTTCAGTGGGCTGAGATCACACCACTGCACTCCAGCCTGAGCGACAGAGGGAGACTACATCTCAAAAAAAAAAAAAAAAAAAAGATTACTAGTAAATGGTAGCTGTTGTTAACTAGTTATACAAATGAAAATCTCTTTTAAAAATGCTTGAAAATTCCATACATGTACCTTGTTTTATAAAAATACTCAGAAGATATAAAAGCCTAACTTATGCTGATTTTTATTTTAACTAGTCAGTTTGGGATTTTCTTTCCAGTACAATCAAAGATGGTTTAGTTTTGAGACTGAAATGCTACAACAAGTTGCAGTGCTCTTAGGACAGTGGGCTTTATTTATAGTTCTATTGAATGTAAGGAATTGCAAGGCAGTTACGTTGATAACACATGTATTTTAAACCCAATTTATGCAGTATTCCATGAACAGCTGAGCAGACAAATGAAAGAGTTTAATTTTTGTTCAAATGAAAACATAATTGATACTTTCCTAACCTAGTCTATAAACTCATTCTAAAAAAGTGTCCTTGTGTTTAGCCTCCAATAGGCTATGTCAGAATCTCCTGAGATCAGCAGGTTGAAAAGCTTTGCAAGTGAGAAAGTTTAATAAGGACTAAAGTATCTGAAAAAAATTGTAAATTGGAACATAGAAAGCCTTGAAAAGATGCTGTTTTAATTTTATTTTTACTCGAACACCAATTAAATGCAACTGAAACCAGTTTCATGAAAACATGCTTATAAAGCCATATCTGTTTTAAATGGAAGTCATATTCACTACCTGCTATTTCTCAGAAAAAAATCCCCGTAGCTTATTTAAATGAATGTCATCATAATATATTGTCTATTAATATTCAACCACAGGCAGCATATAGTGCATCTTATTCCAAACTGTTATTAATTTCCTGGTCTAAATAATAAATAAGTTTCCTTTAATTAATGGATTCTAGGATCTTAAGAATATTAAAATCTTAATATGACACAGTGGAGCCTGTTATGTACTAGGGTTTCTTTTATGTTTCACCATTCATATATGAAATAATTTTTATTGGGGGGAGGAGCCAAGATGGCCAAATAGGAACAGCTTCGGTCTACAGCTCCCAGAGTGAGCGACGCAGAAGACAGTGATTTCTGCATTTCCATCTGAGGTACCGGGTTCATCTCACTAGGGAGTGCCAGACAGTGGGTGCAGGTCAGTGGGTGAGCGCACCGTGCGCGAGCCGAAGCAGGGTGAGGCATTGCCTCACTTGGGAAGCGCAAGGGGTCAGGGAGTTCCTTTTCCGAGTCAAAGAAAGGGGTGACGGATGGCACCTGGAAAATCGGGTCACTCCCACCTGAATACTGCACTTTTCCGACGGGCTTAAAAAACGGCGCACCAAGAGATTATATCCCGCACATGGCTCGGAGGGTCCTGTGCCCATGGAGTCTCGCTGATTGCTAGCACAGCAGTCTGAGATCAAACTGCAAGGCGGCAGCTAGGCTGGGGGAGGGGTGCCCGCCATTGCCCAGGCTTGATTAGGTAAACAAAGCAGCCGGGAAGTTCCAACTGGGTGGAGCCCACCACAGCTCAAGGAGGCCTGCCTGCCTCTGTAGGCTCCACCTCTGGGGGCAGGGCACAGACAAACAAAAAGACAGCAGTAACCTCTGCAGACTTAAATGGCCCTGTCTGACAGCTTTGAAGAGAGCAGTGGTTCTCCCAGCACGCAGCTGGAGATCTGAGAACGGGCAGACTGCCTCCTCAAGTGGGTCCCTGACCCCTGATCCCGGAGCAGCCTAACTGGGAGGCACCCCCCAGCAGGGGCACACTAACACCTCACACGGCAGGGTATTCCAACAGACCTGCAGCTGAGGGTCCTGTCTGTTAGAAGGAAAACTAACAAACAGAAAGGACATCCAGACCAAAAACCCATCTGTACATCACCATCATCAAAGACCAAAAGTAGATAAAACCACAAAGATGGGGAAAAAACAGAGCAGAAAAACTGGAAACTCTAAAAAGCAGAGCACCTCTCCTCCTCCCAAGGAACGCAGTTCCTCACCAGCAACGGAACAAAGCTGGATGGAGAATGACTTTGATGAGCTGAGAGAAGAAGGCTTCAGACGATCAAATTACTCTGAGCTACGGGAGGACATTCAAACCAAAGGCAAAGAAGTTGAAAACTTTGCAAAAAATTTAGAAGAATGTATAACTAGAATAACCAATACAGAGAAGTGCTTAAAGGAGCTGATGGAGCTGAAAACCAAGGCTCGAGAACTACATGAAGAATGCAGAAGCCTCAGGAGCCGATGCAATCAACTGGAAGAAAGGGTATCAGCGATGGAAGATGAAATGAATGAAATGAGGCGAGAAGGGAAGTTTAGAGAAAAAAGAATAAAAAGAAATGAGCAAAGCCTCCAAGAAATATGGGACTATGTGAAAAGACCAAATCTACGTCTGATTGGTGTACCTGAAAGTGATGGGGAGAATGGAACCAAGTTGGAAAACACTCTGCAGGATATTATCCAGGAGAACTTCCCCAATCTAGCAAGGCAAGCCAACGTTCAGATTCAGGAAATATAAAGAATGCCACAAAGATACTCCTCGAGAAGAGCAACTCCAAGACACATAATTGTCAGATTCACCAAAGTTGAAATGAAGGAAAAAATATTAAGGGCAGCCAGAGAGAAAGGTCGGGTTACCCTCAAAGGGAAGCCGATCAGACTAACAGCAGATCTCTCAGCAGAAACCCTACAAGCCAGAAGAGAGTGGGGGCCAATATTCAACATTCTTAAAGAAAAGAATTTTCAACCCAGAATTTCATATCCAGCCAAAGTAAGCTTCATAAGCGAAGGAGAAATAAAATACTTTACAGACAAGCAAATGCTGAGAGATTTTGTCACCACCAGGCCTGCCCTAAAAGAGCTCCTGAAGGAAGCACTAAACATGGAAAGGAAAAACCGGTACCAGCCACTGCAAAATCATGCCAAAATGTAAACACCATCAAGACTAGGAAGAAACTGCATCAACTAACGAGCAAAATAACCAGGTAACATCATAATGACAGGATCAAATTCACACATAACAATATTAACTTTAAATGTAAATGGACTAAATGCTCCAATTAAAAGACACAGACTGGCAAATTGGATAGAGTCAAGAGCCATCAGTGTGCTGTATTCAGGACACCCATCTCACGTGCAGAGACACACATACGCTCAAAATAAAAGGATGGAGGAAGATCTACCAAGCAAATGGAAAACAAAAAAAGGCAGGGGTTGCAATCCTAGTCTCTGATAAAACAGACTTGAAACCAACAAAGATCAAAAGAGACAAAGAAGGCCATTACATAATGGTAAAGGGATCAATTCAACAAGAAGAGCTAACTATCCTAAATATATATGCACCCAATACAGGAGCACCCAGATTCATAAAGCAAGTCCTGAGTGACTACAAAGAGACTTAGACTCCCACACATTAGTAATGGGAGACTTTAACACCCCAGTGTCAACATTAGACAGATCAACGAGACTGAAAGTCAACAAGGATACCCAGGAATTGAACTCAGCTCTGCACCAAGCGGACCTAATAGACATCTACAGAACTCTCCACCCCAAATCAACAGAATATACACTTTTTCGGCACCACACCACATCTATTCCAAAATTGACCACATACTTGGAAGGGAAGCTCTCCTCAGCAAATGTAAAAGAACAGAAATTATAACAAACTATCTCTCAGACCACAGTGCAATCAAACTAGAACTCAGGATTAAGAATCTCACTCAAAACCACTCAACTACATGGAAACTGAACAACCTGCTCCTGAGTGACTACTGGGTACATAAGGAAATGAAGGCAGACATAAAGATGTTCTTTGAAACCAACAACAACAAAGACACAACATACCAGAATCTCTGGGACGCATTCAAAGCAGTGTGTAGAGGGAAATTTATAGCACTAAATGCCCACAAGAGAAAGCAGGAAAGATCCAAAATTGACACCCTAACATCACAATTAAAAGAACTAGAAAAGCAAGAGCAAACACATTCAAAAGCTAGCAGAAGGCAAGAAATAACTAAAATCAGAGCAGAACTGAAGGAAATAGAGACACAAAAAACCCTTCAAAAAATGAATGAATCCAGGAGCTGGTTTTTTGAAAGGATCAACAAAATTGATAGACCGCTAGCAAGACTAATAAAGAAAAAAAGAGAAGAATCAAATAGACACAATAAAAAATGATAAAGGGGATATCACCACCAATCCCACAGAAATACAAACTACCATCAGAGAATACTACAAACACCTCTACGCAAATAAACTAGAAAATCTAGAAGAAATGGATAAATTCCTCGACACATACACTCTCCCAAGACTAAACCAGGAAGAAGTTGAATCTCTGAATAGACCAATAACAGGATCTGAAATTGTGGCAATAATCAATAGCTTACCAACCAAAAAGAGTCCAGGACCAGATGGATTCACAGCCGAATTCTAACAGAGGTACAAGGAGGAACTGGTACCATTCCTTCTGAAACTATTCCAATCAATAGAAAAAGAGGGAATCCTCCCTAACTCATTTTATGAGGCCAGCATCATTCTGATACCAAAGCCAGGCAGAGACACAACCAAAAAAGAGAATTTTAGACCAATATCCTTGATGAACATTGATGCAAAAATCCTCAATAAAATACTGGCAAACCGAATCCAGCAGCACATCAAAAAGCTTATCCACCATGAACAAGTGGGCTTCATCCCTGGGATGCAACGCTGGTTCAATATATGCAAATCAATAAATGTAATCCAGCATATAAAGAGAGCCAAAGGCAAAAACCACATGATTATCGCAATAGATGCAGAAAAAGCCTTTGACAAAATTCAACAACCCTTCATGCTAAAAACTCTCAATAAATTAGGTATTGATGGGACGTATTTCAAAATAATAAGAGCTATCTATGACATACCCACAGCCAATATCATACTGAATGGGCAAAACCTGGAAGCATTCCCTTTGAAAACTGGCACAAGACAGGGATGCCCTCTCTCACCACTCCTATTCAACATAGTGTTGGAAGTTCTGGCCAGGGCAATTAGGCAGGAGAAGGAAATAAAGGGTATTCAATTAAGAAAAGAGGAAGTCAAATTGTCCCTGTTTGCAGACGACATGATCGTATATCTAGAAAACCCCATTGTCTCAGCCCAAAATCTCCTTAAGCTGATAAGCAACTTCAGCAAAGTCTCAGGATACAAAATCAATGTACAAAAATCACAAGCGTTCTTATACACCAACAACAGACAAACAGAGAGCCAAATCATGAGTGAACTCCCATTCACAATTGCTTCAAAGAGAATAAAATACCTAGGAATACAACTTACAAGGGATGTGAAGGACCTCTTTAAGGAGAAGTACAAATCACTGCTCAAGGAAATAAAAGAGGATACAAACAAAAGGAAGAACATTCCATGCTCATGGGTAGGAAGAATCAATATCGTGAAAATGGTCATACTGCCCAAGGTAATTTACAGATTCAATGCCATCCCCATCAAGCTACCAATGCCTTTCTTCACAGAATTGGAAAAAACTACTTTAAAGTTCATATGGAACCAAAAAAGAGCCTGCGTCGCCAAGTCAATCCTAAGCCAAAAGAACAAAGCTGGAGGCATCACACTACCTGACTTCAAACTATACTACAAGGCTACAGTAACCAAAACAGCATGGTACTGGTACCAAAACACAGATATAGATCAATGGAACAGAACAGAGCCCTCAGAAATAGAGCCACATATCTACAACTATCTGATCTTTGACAAACCTGAGAAAAACAAGCAATGGGGAAAGGATTCCCTATTTAATAAATGGTGCTGGGAAAACTGGCTAGCCATATGTAGAAAGCTGAAACTGGATCCCTTCCTTACACCTTATACAAAAATCAATTCAAGATGGATTAAAGACTTAAACGTTCGACCTAAAACCATAAAAACCCTAGAAGAAAACCTAGGCATTACCATTCAGGACATAGGCATGGGCAAGGACTTCATGTCTAAAACACCAAAAGCCATGGCAACAAAAGCCAAAATTGACAAATGGGATCTAATTAAACTAAAGAGCTTCTGCACAGCATAAGAAACTACTATCAGAGTGAACAGGCAACCTACAAAATGGGAGAAAATTTTTGCAACCTACTTATCTGACAAAGGGCTAATATCCAGAATCTACAATGAACTCAAACAAATTTACAAGAAAAAAACAAACAACCCCATCAAAAAGTGGGCGAAGGACATGAACAGACACTTCTCAAAAGAAGATATTTATGCAGCCAAAAAACACATGAAAAAATGCTCATCATCACTGGCCATCAGAGAAATGCAAATCAAAACCACAATGAGATACCATCTCACACCAGTTAGAATGACAATCATTAAAAAGTCAGGAAACAACAGGTGCTGGAGAGGATGTGGAGAAATAGGAATACTTTTACACTGTTGGTGGGACTGTAAACTAGTTCTACCATTGTGGAAGTCAGTGTGGTAATTCCTCAGGGATCTAGAACTGGAAATACCATTTGACCCAGCCATCCCATTACTGGGTATATACCCAAAGGACTATAAATCATGCTGCTATAAAGACACATGCACACGTATGTTTATTGCGGCAGTATTCACAATAGCAAAGACTTGGAACCAACCCAAATGTCCAACAATGATAGACTGGATTAAGAAAATGTGGCACATATACACCATGGAATACTATGCAGCCATAAAAAATGATGAGTTCATGTCCTTTGTAGGGACATGGATGAAATTGGAAATCATCATTCTCAGTAAACTATCGCAAGAACAAAAAACCAAACACCGCATATTCTCACTCATAGGTGGGAATTGAACAATGAGATCACATGGACACAGGAAGGGGAATATCACACTCTGGAGACTGTGGTGGGGTGGGGGGAGGGGGGAGGGATAGCATTGGGAGATATACCTAATGCTAGATGACGAGTTAGTGGGTGCAGTGCACCAGCATGGCACATGTATACATATGTAACTAACCTGCACAAGGTGCACATGTACCCTAAAACTTAAAAGAACAAAAAATAATAATTTTTATCTACCTTATAGATTTTTTTTGTATTATTAAGGAACATGAAATGTATAAATATTAATCAGCTTCATTTTTGAAAGTATTTAGAGCTAGCTAATTTCACTTCAATTACATTAGCTGTTAATCTTTCTCTGCCTAAGAAACACTTTCTTTGAATTTCGATTGTAAACTTTATGTCATGAAAACCTTCATGAAATAAGCTCCTTAATAACCACATAACTATTTTTCATGTGAAATTGTTGGAATGAAAGAAGTATCTGTGGAAAATTTTCCTTACTCTTCTAAAATTTCTGTTTTGGTTATTGATTCCAATATTGTACAAACCTAAATACAGTCTTCAACTTTTTTTAAAAAAGCTGAATATCGGGGGGGTGCGGATCCTGCAGTGAGCCGAGATCGCACCACTGCACTCCAGCCTGGGCAACAGCGAGACTCTGTCAGAAAAAAAAAAAAAAAAAGCTGAATATCCATGATGTGTTGTGCTCTAAGTTTTTGAGATTTGTGGCCACTAAATTCTAAAGATTATATCTCTGCATAGAAAAAGTTGATAGACATTCCTTTCATCATAATTGTCTTTATGATTGATAATTTTTGTGTAAAATTATTATATTTAATAACTAATATAATTCATTTAAGGTATAAAAATTGGAAACTATGGAAAATCTCTAAATTATACCATTACATTAATGTACCTCCTAAATCATTTGTTTCATTTGTCTCAGACAGATTGTCTTAAATTTGTTAAGAAAATCCTGTTCTCAGCTCAGCCATCAGGGTTTGAAGTAGAGATCTGCAGTTCTACAGCACATAGTAATTAAAACCACAAAAGTTGGGAGGCTGAGGTGGCGGATCACGAGGTCGGGAGATCGAGACCATCCTGGCTAACACATGGTGAAACCCCATCTCTACTAAAAATACAAAAAAATTAGCCAGTCGTGGTGGTGGGCGCCTGTAGTCCCAGCTACTCGGGAGGCTGAGGCAGGAGAATGGCATGAACCCGAGGGGCAGAGCTAGCAGCGAGCCGAGATCACGCCACTGCACTCCAGCCTCGGCGACAGAGCGAGACTCCCTCTCAAAAAACAAACAAACAACAACAACAACAACAAAAACACAAGAGCTTATTAGGGAAGAAAAATAGCATCCAAAGGAGAGTAGAAAGGAGTGGGCAAGGAACAGTAAATATGTTAGGAGTGGCTGGAGGATGAGAAGACTGTGATAAACGTCATTAAGGAATAATTAATAAAGAATTCCAAGGCATAATGGGGTTTATTAGAGGAAGCAGCCAAGAAAAAATATAAAACAAAGTCTAATAATAGTTATGGATACAGAAAAGTGTCCTATCAGCAATACACAGTTCACTGGTGATTTCTGCTTCTGAAAATAGTAGGCCACCTCTCTAGAATAAAAGCTAGACTCAGTGGATTGAGCAGGGAAGGCATTGGATGAGAGATGAGCAAGCAAAAGCAGTGAGTGTAGACTATTCTAAATTATTTTTGAAGAAATGCCAGCTAAGCTATAAGAAACAAAGAAAGACTTAATAAGAGGGCTATCTTTATCTTAAATATAAATTAAATGGAAGAAAGACAGTATAGTGGGGTAAGTTGAAGAGAGGAGAGAAAGAGGAACATTGGTAAAGAATTCGTTCATTTATTCATTCATGCAAATATGTATTAAGAACTTGTAAATACCAGGCGTAATTCCAGGTGCTAGGGATATGGCTGTGAAATAAACAGCCAAAATCTCTGTCCCAAATTGAGGGGGAGAGGCAATTGGAAAGACACGTGAGATGCCTCAGCTGCCTCCTCACATCCTTTCACCTCACTTCTGATTCCTATGAGGAATCTTTTTCTTTATGCCCCAGCAAGCCAAAAGACAAGCAAGAGTCACAGCTGGGGCTGTGGGAGATTGAACCCCCTGAGAGCATCCAATGAGGAATGGAATGAATAAGTACTTTTCTTGGTACAAACCTCAGTGGACAATTTGGAGAGTCATTGTCAACTATCCTCAGATTTTTTTCTCAGTATTGACTTCCATAATACACTTTTTAATTGATTTTTTTCCACCTTCTTCTCAATCCTCAATTTTTTACTCTTGCCCCAAACCTGCAAACAAGATTTTATCTCAGATTCTGCTTTAGGATGTGTGAAGAAACTCACAGGACAAAAAATTAATTATATGTATCTATATAAAATTTATTATTAAGATATATTATTAATAATATATTAGATAAGATGTGTATAAATATACAGGTATATAACCAGTAATAAGAACTAAAGAGAAAAATTAAAGCAAGGAAATGAGATGGAAATGCATGTGTGTGTGCGTGTGGGTGTGTGTGTGTGTGTGTGAAAGAGAGAGAGATGAGAGAAGAGAGGAAAGAGAGATTTGAATAAACACTATATACCAAGCACATTTGTAATGTGTTTTACATGTATTAATTCATTCAGTCTTATCACCACCCCATAAGAGGTACCATCTAACTTTCAAATGAGAAAACTGAATTACAAAAAGTTTACACACTTTGCCTAGTACTGCATTTCTGGCCAGATTTGAATCACAATTTGAATCCAGGCACCTGGGCTCCAGAGTCCAGCTCTTCACACTTAATTTAGTAGCTTCGGTCACCTACACAGTGAGGTCTTTTAAGATCCATCGTTCCACCTAAGCCTCTTTCTTATCAGACCCCTCAGAAACCCACAAGCAGTCTCTGTCTTCTCGTAATGTTTGTCTTGAATGAAAGACACATAATGTTTGTCTTGAATGAACTGCAGCACAGTTCATTGACCATGAACCTAAAGGATGTAAACTCATGTGTTCAGTTATATAGGCTTTTGGTAGTCTGTCTACATCAAAGAACCCAATTTATTTATGCAAGCCTATATGCATTCATGATAAGCTCCAGAAAGAACACTTAATGAAGTGCATTGATGAGTGTTACTTCCCTAGTTATTACTCCTCTATGTTAACCTGTTAATAGACATTAAAGAGATTATATTCTCTGGCAAAGACCTGAGTGTAGGTCCTCGCACATGAAACCATGTTTTTCATAATAATGAAGTAATCTCATCCCACCTGAGCTCTTGTAGTCCTTGTCAGCTGGAAAGTGGCCTACTCTCATCAGCTGCCACTGGTGTTGTTAGGAATGAGGCTGGCACTCTCAGCTAAGGCAGCGTTCTCCAGTTGAACAGAACAATTTTCGCAGAATACCAACATCAGAAAGGACCACTCTGAGACCATGCTGAATCAAGATAAAAGCAAAACCATTTTGTAATCATGTCCAAACACAGATAAAAACATGAACATTGTCCAAACCACAAAAATGACCATATATCCCCATCCTGCTTATCGCAAGTTATTGCTACTTCTTCGCCAGTCATAGCTTTAGCCTTACTTTGTTCTTCCCTCCCAAATGATTTACGAAGATACTTAAGCATAGAATTACCCCTGCTTTTTGACCACATCCAATGTAGAACAAAGCTCTACTTCTTTGAACCCTCCCCCAATCACCTAACACAAGTCCAAAACATGTTTTTTCCAACACCCTCTCACTGTGCTCACTGTGCAGGCTCATGTTTTCCCTTATATTGTAGTAAGCAATAACCCCAACTTGGTCAACTACAGGTATGTAGACTGTATGACACTGACACAATCTTATTGCCTGCTCCACATATTTGACCCTTATCTATGCAGTTTCTTTATGTGTCTTATTTCCCAGTCACATTGCTTCTTGTGGACACTGAAGTTTCTCTCTGAAAACTAATGGCAGTGCCTTGAGTTAATTAACTAATAGCTGGCTGTTCTAATTGACCAAACACCTCACATATTTCTTTTTCTCCTTTAGGAACCGACTGCTATTTCAGCAATGGAGCTTTCCACTAAGCAGGTACTATCATTATGTATTACCATTGAATATCCAATATTTTGTTAATTCTGGTGTTTCAATAGATATATCTATTTATCAAATTTCACAGATTTGTTAACAATTATACAAAAATACAGGAGAAAACAAATATCATTCTTACAATAAGCTAGTAGATTAGAAACTGAAGATAGTTTTCATTGCCCTCATGTTTTTGATCAATCTCATCTGTGTTCTATAAACATTATTTTATGGATCATTATTTGTTATAAATTTTTACATACAGTGTATTTTGGTCATTTTAATATAATTTACTCAATACTCAATAATAATTTTCATCTTTTCTGATTATGTATTTATGTGTATACCCTGAAATAGCATTGTGATATTTCAGGATATAAAAAAAATTTATAATTTATTCTTACTTTGCAAATATAAACAAAAATGCATTTTTAGAGGCTAGTAAAATTATTCACTGGCTATATGTGTTTGGAGGACCTTGACTTAAAAGTTAATTTTACTTTTCCAGTAGTATTGTATGCTAGAGAAAACAAAATGTGTATTTAACTTTGGCTAAATATCAAATGAAAGCAAAAAAATGATCACTGCCAAATAAGTACTAAAACTTCATGAATTCAAAGGTTAAGGGCAGCATGTTAATAGTCTTTCCATTCATATCAAATGGATGCTTTGGCAAGACACTTCAGAAAAGTCAATTGCTTCTAAATACTGTGTAATATGTGTAAACAAATATAGTTTTAATGTCTAATATTTTCTCCATAAATGTTACCTAGACTTTCTTCTGTCCAGTATATCAATGGTAACTTCAAAAAAAAAAAAAAAAAAAAAAAGCAGAAAAATCCAGAATGAAGTAGGGTATGCCTCACTTACTAGAGTAAAAACTTATATACAAAATTGTAAAATGAGAATCATTTGGCAAATCTTATTTCTGAACTGTTTACATGTTTTATCTCTGACCATGCTTTATCCCTTGAACAAGACACTAAATTACTCTGCCAGTAAAATTCAGTGTATATCCTTTTCCTACACAGACATATCAAAATAGATCGATAATCTCCAAGATATTTAGAGCAACCCAGAGTGCAGATACGATTGACCTGATACTGTTATCTTACACTGCATAAGTATGTGTTCATCTGTTCTCGTAATCTGAAAATTGTTAGAGGTTGGCAAAGAAATCTGGGGATTTCCAGGATGGAAGCTAGACTGGGATATTCTTTCCTGTAATGATTTTTAAAATTATTTATTTATTCTCTGCTAGGCCTCATTGCCAGTCTTAATTGCACTAACTCCACGTCTATTTTTGTAAACCATTTCTTTCTGTTTTACATTTTTAAATCTGTTTAAAAAAGTACATATTAAGCCAACATTTTACTGACAAAGAAAAACAATCTATCAGTTTAAAATACCATGAGAGAAGAAAGTGTCTTTTTCCTTTATTTTCCATTACTGGAAGAAATGATTTGATTTCGTTCAGATATGACTCAATTTCATTCATGCTTATGGGCATTTTTAAAGTGAGATAGTAGTTTCAAGAGGGACAAGTAGTGTTGCAAGTAATTTTCTGGATAAATGAACCCATCTCCTGCTATACCCCACACTTTGTTAAGGAGGATAGTGAGAAAGCCTGTGGTGATGTTAAATTGGGCAGAAAAAGCACATCAGGTAACTTACTAGTGACTGGATTCTGCTCAATGGTGCCTAAAGGCTTACCCTATATTTCATTTGGATAGCATAATTATTTTTGCACTTCATTAATAATACTGCAAAATTATGGTAAAATGAACATGACTGATTTATAGTTACTTTTGGCATTTTATCACAGTTCAGGTTTTCATCATAATAATTTCAGCTGCTATATTTTGGTTTGCTATTCTTTCCACATACTATTTCTCTGTTTCTCCCCTAAAGGAATATGACATAATTAGATACTGTTATTTAGGTAATAACACTTTTCCTACTTAAATGTCATATTCTTAAAAAAATCTATAAATATACATTTTGCTCATGCTTCTTAGACGTTATTGGCGAAACAGAGATCTTGATTGTAGGACTAACTTGAGTAGCTTTTCAAAATAGTTGCAAACACAATGTATGGATTGACACATCCATATACTGAAATTGCTTACATTCAATAGTGTCTAAGTTCATTTTAAAAAAGGAGTCTGTGAAAGAAAAAGAAAGAAAGAAGAGAAAGAAAAGAAAGAAAGAAAGAAAAAGAAAAGGAAAGAAAGAGAAAGAAAGAAAGAGAGAGAAATGGGGAAGGAAAGCTTAACAATACTTAATCTATTTTTCCCAAAGAATTTAACCATCATTTCTTAATTTGTCCTGGTTTATAGCAAAATTCAATACTATAATAAAAGTTGAATATAGCAAAAAATTGAGCACTTAGTAATATATGCTATAATTTCATTTTTTCCATTTAGTGAAATGGAATAATAATATTAATGAAGATAAATGTTTCCACAATGGTTTAGATTTTATTGTATTACATTTCCCCTTATTTACTTTGCTTGTAATAAGGTATAAGTTAGTTGGTGAGATTTCAGCAGAGAACTATTTTCTATGTAAACACTCCTTATAACCTTAATATTTTCTTAGATTCTCATAGGTACTTCAGTCTGCATTCAATTTATCTGGTTATTTATACATGCAGTTTATACATGAAAGCCTTTGGAAATGCAATTTCATTTATATTCATTGTTAACTATTAGAAAATGTGTAGTATTAAAAAAGCATATCATTGTTCAGAGACTGACTTTTCTAAAACTCATTTTTTATTTATATACTAGAGAAACTAAAATACACTTTTGATGTCTTTTCAATGTATGAAAACATTACATGTTTCAGTATTTATGTAAGTTTTACTTAAGGCTTACTATAATTATTGAATCCTCTAGTGCAAGAAAAGAGAGCTATGGTGCCAATAACAGTAAATGTGGAGAAATTGCAAAATAATTTTATTTCATTTTGTGTTTAAATAAATTTGCAGCTAATATGCTACATTGGCTCAACTTTGTTAAAGGCATTTTAAAAGTTGTACTGAAATCCTGAATTATTAGAAAAACAATTTTTTTAATCTTCCATATTCTGGGTCTTTCAATAACACCAATTTCATTGAGAATAAATGCATTGTAGAATGTTTATCTGAATGCATACTTTAAAGACCTATTAAACATGCTCATTTTAATAAGGAAGTTAATTCTTAGAAAAATTATATGAATAGCTCAAGATCACACAGGGTGTTAATGGGCAGCGAGACCTAGAATCCAGGTATCTTCATGCTCAACCCTATGCTTTTTCCACAACACTTCAGCTTTTGGTTTGGCAGACTGCACCAGAGTGTACTTAGTGCCTCTTTTCAAAGACGTTTTGAAGGGTAGTAATTTAGTAGTCTTTTTAAAAGTAATCTTCCTGGAGGTAGTGCAAGGGTAAGACAGTTCTTGGTGTTGAGCCCAAAGTTTTTTCAAATGTAAGCACCAAAATTTTGCCCCTTCCCATATCATAGGAAAGGGCACACTCCATCACAGGCAATACAATAGGGTACTGAGAAGTCAGAAGCAATGGTTCCTGCCTCTGGCCAATCTGGAACACATGGTAATAAAGACATTTTGGTATATGAGTATTATATACAGTAAAGGTAAAAAAGCAAACTTGCAAAGAACAAAACTTGTAGCTTTGAACATTACATTGGTTGGTGTATTACTGTCTTCATCTTTCCTTTGTTTTACACTTAATAAAAGACACTTGTTTCAGTCAAATATTTAGAACTTGCTCTTGCTCCATTTTAAACTGCCATCTTGTCTAGAAGGCCTTTAAAGAAATTAGCAATAAAGGGATGATTTTTTTAAACCCTTAATTTATCTCTGAGAAGTTATATATAAATAAACTCTTTTTTAAGAGAACAAGAGATTTAAAAGACAAGATAGTTTTTGTCACAGCAGTAAACTCTTTCCACAGCAACAACTATATATTGGTTCAACGGCTGGGGTTGCCCAGCTCCCTTTACACCGGTGTGATATTTACGGGAAAGCGTGTGCTGAGTGTTGCCTCGCCCGAGACCCTTACTGTGCTTGGGATGGTTCTGCATGTTCTCGCTATTTTCCCACTGCAAAGAGGTAGGAAAAATATTCAAAATAAATGAAATGTTTGCTAGTTATCCTATCTGATTCCAAGTTTGAAATAGCTTTCTTCAAATAAGTGCATCAACTTTTTCTAATGAATAAAAAGATTTGGGAGCAGATGGAGGGGATTGTTGCGTTTTGTTTTTTCTCTTCTCTTCAAATAGTTAAAACAATCAGAAAAAAAGTCACAGAGAAAGTCATAAACAGAATCTAGACTGAGTCTTGTCCCTTTAGACCAAAATACTCTGTTTTCCAAACATGTTCTTCTATTTCTATCCAGCAACATTCTGTCTCATTTTTAAACTTTAATAAGGCAATTTATGTCTCTGGATGAACAGAAAATGATCAGAGAAAGGAATTTATTTTCCTTTAGAGTCTTAGGTAGTACACAGGGGCCTAATTATAAAAAGTCCAGAAGAATTTATTTCTAGTTTTGAAAATATTACATTTTAATATGTGATATATGTAATTTTGATTAACATCACAAAATACGTCTATTTGTTTCAAGAAAATTTAAGTGTTATTATATTATTATAGCATCACCTTGCATTTGCAGTGTCTGAACTTGAAACATAAAACCATGTAGTAAAATATCTATCTGTGCATATGCAATATATATGTATATGTGTATATCTATATGTATATGTGTATATATGTATATGTGTGTGTGTGTGTATATATATATATATATTTTTTTTTTTTTTTTTTTTTGAGATGGAGTCTCACTCTGTCACCAGGCTGGAGTGCAGTGGCACAATCTCGGCTCACTGCAACCTCTGCCTCCCAGGTTCAAGAGATTCTCCTGTCTCACCCTCCCGAGTAGCTGGGACTACAGGCGTGCACCACCATGCCCAGCTAATTTTTGTATTTTTAGTAGACACAGGGTTTCACCATGTTGGCCAGGATGGTCTCGATCTCCTAACCTCGTGATCCTCATGCCTTGGCCTTTGAGAGGGATTACAGGGATTACAGTCGTGTGCCACTGCGCCCAGCATATATATACATATATATCTCTTAAACATACTCTTGATAATACTTAAAAGTATTTTTTTGGACATGCTTGAATAAAAGTTGCTAAGATAACTCTTTCTTCATTTGACAAAATAGCCCTTTCAAAAACATATCCTTTACTACTCACTGAAGGATGTCTTTCTCTTTCAACATTTAGCAGGGTTTAGGAAATGAGAATGGTGGATGAAATTAACATACAGTATCTCGTTAATATGAGCCCAAAGATTAACAGCATGTATATCAACCTATTGAAATATAAAATGGAACCAGCTTTATGAAACCTCTGCATTTTAGAAGCAATATAATTTGATTTCTTTATTGTTTATTATAGCTATTTTTTTCAAAGAAGCTATGAATGTAGATTTTCATAGCTAATGAGGTATGTCCTACAACATTTGTATCAGTTTGAATATTTGGTAAAATATTTGAGCAAAGAAATGGCCCTAATGCCTACTTAAATCTCTTGATTACACACTTTAGATAACATTGACTGAGTGTAAAATCATCTACAATTTAGTCTGTTATATAAGTAGTCCAAAGGATTAAAACACAGTATCCTGTTAATAATATTAAATGTATACGCAGTATTATATCATATAAGAAATACAATTATTAAACCTTTAACATTCAGAATTGAGGTAACATGTTCGTATTACTTTTATATAACCATTCATTTTGTCGAAATTTCAAATTTAAAATAAAACTTATTGTGGAGATAATGTCTGTTCATTAAAGAAACCGTAGGTAATTTAAGGAATAGCAATATGCAGTCTTTACAGCAGTAACATTAAATTTTTTAAGATTAAAAGTTAATGCTTCTCAAAAACATTTAACTCTAGGTGGCTATTATCTTACTTTAAAATGTGGAATTCAGCCCGACACCGTGGCTCACACCTGTAATCCCAGCACTTTGGGAGGCCAAGGCAGGCGGCTCACGATGTCAAGAGTTTGAGACCAGCCTGGCCAGCATGGTGAAACCCCATCTCTACTAAAAATACAACAATTAGCCATGTGTGGTGGCGGATGCCTGTAATCCCAGCTATTTGGGAGGCTGAGGCAGAAGAATTGCTTGAACCCAGGAGGCAGAGGTTTTACTGAGCTGAGATTGCATCGCTGCACTCCAGCCTGGGTGACAAAGCAAGACTCTGTCTCGAAAAAAAAAAAAAAAAAGTGGAATTCGTGTTTGAACTAAAATGAGTATTATTTCTTCTTCATGTGAAAGTTTATAATATTACCTAATTTAGTAATAATCTATTTGAATTTTAAGCTCTTCTTAATAAGGAAAGAGATAAAAAGAAAATCAACACATCTATAAGTTAAAACCTATATGTTATTACATATTTGAAAAGTATTTATTGTATACCTACAATTCAAGATTGAAGGAATTTTCATTAGCACATTTTTGTTATGCCTTACAGATTTTACTTAATCCAATTTCATGAGTGACACGCTGTCTTTAAAAAGGATGTTTAGAAGCCTCATGATTTATATATTCTTTGTGATGGCATTTTTCAAAATCTTAAATGGCAGTGAAAAATGCCTTCCCAAATGCTTTGTAGTTCGTGTTTCACAAGTTCTCTTGTTGGCTCAATTTTGAAATGTGCAACATCTGTTTGATAGTTTCACTAATTCTACAAATAGAAATCTATAAATACTTTAGACTTCTAAATTTATGAATACAGTAACAAATTCCATATTTGCAATTCTCAACGGCCTTTGTGAGAGTTCTTTTTAGGGATGGTAACTAATTTTGCAGCAAGACAATACCCATTAAAATAGCAGCAGCAAACACTTGGGCAAGTGTCCCCCAATCTTTTCCAGTCTGTTACACATAGCCAGTCTCCATTTTTAGCCTCTTCCTGGAACTTCACATCTTTGTTGCACCGCAGTGACTACAGCCTACCTCCTCCTTCCCAGGCAACCATTAGCAAAATGTAGAAAAAGGATACCCACAACGTGCTGCAGCTCACATGTGATCTGGGGGTAGAATGTAGAAGAAATCGTTTGATTTTTATAAGCAAACTTTGCTTTTCTCTTAAATGTAAGTTCATTTATTCTCTCTCTCATTCCTCTGGCAAGAGGAGGCCTTGCCCTTAAGTTCAACATTTATTGTTGCTTTTATTCACTTCACAGGTAAATTGGTTTGCAATCATAGCCATATGATCATAAAATAAACTGTTTTAAAAAAGAACAGGTTGATATGGCCAGGCGCAGTGGCTCACGCTGTAATCCCAGCACTTTGGGAGGCCGAGGAGGGCGGATCACAAGGTCAGGAGATCGAGACCATCCTGGCTAACACGGTGAAATCCCGTCTCTATTAAAAATACAAAAAATTAGCTGGGCATGGTGGCGGCTGCCTGTAGTCCCAGCTACTCAGGAGGCTGAGGCAGGAGAATGGCATGAACCCGGGAGGCGGAGCTTGCAGTGAGCCGAGATCACGCCACTGCACTTCAGCCTGGGCGACAGAGCGAGATTCTGTCTCAAAAAAAAAAAAAGAAAGAAAGAAAAAAAAAAAGGATAGGTTGATACAATAACCAAGAAAAGAAATTTTAAAACTAGCTTAAAAATAGAATTTCTAGTCTTAATATTATAAAATTTAGCAAAAGTCTATTTAAATAATTATGTGTAAGCATTTAGAGAAAGAGAACATTCATGTGAATTATAATTTTCAAGCTTATTCCTTCATTAATAATCAGAAAAAAAGTTTAATTTACCCTTTATTGAAAAAAATGGATTATTATTTTAAATTTTGTGCTTTTTCCACAGAAGTTAGGCCTTGAGTTTCTAGACATTAGATTGTTACTGACTGACATCTGGTAGTGAAAAAGCCATGAATTCTCTGTTATCACTATTTTAAAGACTTTTAACATGTTGTTAGTACATTTGGATCTTGTTTCCCATTTTGATCATCTTGGAGACTGCTCTTACAGGTATAATGAACTGTTTTTTAAAAAAATCTTTTAGTTGGATGTAGATTCATCTGTTCCTGTAAGTTACTAGAGTCTATGATATATATATATATATTTTATTTCTCTTCATTCTTATGACAAATTCCTAGAAGGGAAAAATAAGGATACAATAACACCTTTTAAATGTAATTGCTTCAGACGCACAAGACGACAAGATATAAGAAATGGAGACCCACTGACTCACTGTTCAGACTTACACCATGGTAAGTCACATTTTTCATCTTTCAACCTGCTAAGACCAGGCTAAAATCATAATAATGCATATTCATGCATATGCATGCAATGTATGCATCTCTCAGAATACTTAAAGAAATGCAGCCGAAGAGAAGTAAAATCTTACAGAAAGAAAATCCTAAAGAACACAAGGCACTGAATTATGTTTTATTATCATAAATTATGTTTTATTATGATGATAAATTCAAAATTTTAGATGCTTACAAGGTTTAAAGCTCAACTTTCTTATATTAACAAAAAGAAGCCATGTTTAAGTACTTCATTTTGTATATAGTAGCAACCTGAGATGAGTAGGGAATGGAAATGTACATTAAAATATACCAAAGCAAAAACTACAGTCTTAAAATATGCCTTAAAATGATTCATTTATATGCTCATGATATAAACCTAATATATCATTATTGGGTATCCTAGTCAAGCAGAAGATAATGTGGATATCTTTACACTGAATTACTAGTAGGGTATTCCCTTACACTGGGCATTTTGTACCAAATTCATTTTTTGCTTCCTAAAATATGTCAGAGCCTATTTAATGTCAAAGTTGCTTAGTAAATGCAGAAACATCAACCAACCTTCACTTAAAATGCAGTAAAATTGTAGTGATGCCCCACTTTCCATAATTGAAACATTATGCCATATTACTATGGAAATAATAATGAGGTTATGCTTCCCTCTGCTGGGGGAACTTATCAATGACAATACTGCTAATGAACATAGTTAAAAATGGCTGAAATGTACAATGTAAACATTGTCACTTAACATAATTATTCTATTAATTTTTTTGATGCCATTTATTCTAAAAGTAGTTAATATTTATCAGTTGACTTTTCTTTGATTTACTAATTTTATGTGTGGAATATTCATGTTTATGGATTTTAATAAAACATTACCACACATAGAACCCCAGCATACATTCCAAAACTTACTTTCTAAAATTCAGATCCCCCTTTGGCATAAGCTGGATGGGCTGGTATTTGATTTACGAATGCTCACGGGATTGTTTGGGGAATCCTACTACCAGGAGACGGGTAACCATGAATAAAGCCAGTGTTTCGGAACCACTTTGATTGCAAATTTTCTCACCAGGGACTTTCCTATCTGTGATTATCTTTACTATAAATAAGAAAGAGACCACAAAACTGGAGTAAATGTTACGACTGTCCCTGCATTAGTATGGTGCATTTATTGAACACTCTCCTTAAATTTTTTCAAATAGCATATTTCAATCAAATCCTAAAATATTTGCTAATCTTTCATAATCTGTTTCATGGAAAAATATTGAATTATGATCAGCACCATTCCAGCAATGTAATATTTTGAAATATTAATTCATTACACTAAATAATCTGTTTGCCTATATGTGGAGAGTTAATGATAATTACTGGAAGTAAAAGAATCAGGAGAATGTAACTGAACCAATCAGACTTTAATCTCCATATCAAAATGAAACATTATTTTGCTTGTTGTATATTTCTAGGTTTATATCAATACAACATTATGAGTATTGTAGATAACAAATATTTGTTGAATGACTGAATGATCTAAAAATTTCAAGTTATAATCTAGATACATGTCTTATTACTTTTGTTTTTCAGTAGAGATTTGAACTAATAGCACTTTTTGATTTTTGTAAAAAATACCTTATGTCATACATTGTTATTATCAACACCATTATATTCAAAAATAAGATCTCTCTTAGGAAACATCATTATGAATTAATCAATTGACTAATATATATTGATTATATGCCATCATGTGTAGGACACTATGCTGTGTTTTGAAAATTTTTAGAGATTATATGCATATATAATCTTAATGGCATATTCATTTGTTTAGTGATCCCTTTATAGATTCAGTTAGAATTTCAAAATTATATTCATGCTAGAGTTATGAGTGTAAATATATATGGGGAAAAACTGACCAAAGGAATTTTTATGAAAAGTATGACTGTGGATACATAAATATTGTTAACCATTGAATGACTGGGGTTTGGAGAGTGTTTCAGATATTAAAGATGTGTTTTGATAAAATTAGAGTAGTTAAAGACTATTAAAATTTGGCATATAGAATGGCTTAGCCATAAGAAGTAAGAAATAAAGTGAGTGTAAATAAATTTACCTCCTGATTCTTACGTCAGATGCACACTGGAGAGAGAAGAGAAAGTGCAACTGTTCAGTGTTACAGGGTCTTTTGGGGGAGGGTTGTGGTAAACAACTCTAGATGTTTGTGATATCTGAGAGGAAAGGGTAAACTAGCCCAGCAAGCCCTCCAGCAATAAAATATTCCTTTTTGAATGCCTCTTTTCCCCTTGTCTGCTTGTTTTGATAATGACTACACATAAACCATATACACCATAAATTACACTAAATTTCAAATATTTGGAAACTAAGGTAGGCATTCCCATTTGGCCATGCTAAGTCTTACCATTAGGAATCAGTGATTATTTTGGAATAGTTGACGTCAGTATTTGAAAGTAAAATGGGCAAAAATCCGGAGCCCAGCCTTACTAAATCATGTATGTTGTCTTGCTAATATTAATTCTCACATTGAATAAAATATATGTGCTCATGTGGAAGCATAAAAATATGAGATGTTTTCACAGAAAGCTGGTAAGCAACATGAAGCCAAATTACACACTTCAGGATGATCAGTTCCAGCTGTAATGGTAAACATATTCTGTAACACTCTATAGTTTACACATCCAGAGGTTTTAATAGAGAGACTATATACAGAATAACTCAGAATTAAGGTGGAAGAAATTTCACTTTAGATGAAACATTTAACACTCACTTGGCACTCTGCTCCCTTATATGTAAAGTGGCTCGAGTGGTGAACTAGGCCAGGTGAAACAGAAAAATCCAGCTACACCTCCTCTTGATCCCAGGATACTCTCCTCTGTCGCCGGTGGCTGGTCACCTAGGGGAGATTTTAGTATCAAATCTTAATATATGTGTGCTGGCAACTCTTGTCTTCCCACTCACACCTCATACAGGAAGCTAAAGAGGAAGCTCAGGTTGTTTCCAATCTGTTCCCTTCCGTAAAATAATTGCTGTGTACAAAATTGGAGCTCATCTGACTTTGTACTCAAGAAAATGACTGACGAAGGCAATTTACCTATAAACCACTTCCCATTTTCTTTCTCACTAAGAATGGGCCATATTATGATTTACATGTCCAGAAAGGAAAAAAAAAAAAACTACACCATCAGTACTAATTTTTTTTTAACTGTACCATCATGTTAGGTTTCTGAATCTTTGAAATATTTTATATCCTATCTTCTAGTTGAATGCCATCATTGAATTTCACTTTCTAATAGTTTTGCATGCATGCATTACCTTCCTGGCACCTCACAGTAATATGTCCACAGAATCCAATCTTCTTAATTATCTCCATAACTGTCCATCTCAATTTATATCTTGGTTGGCATCAGAATCATTCCAAAATTTTATAAAATGTCTTTGACAATGCCATCTTTATGATCTGTAGAACTGTAAATTTAGTATTTTGTAGCAGTGCTATTATAGTCTGTGTCTTAGCCTCTTCCAGTGATGAATCTGAGCATTTAGCCCCAAGAGGAGTCTCAATATTTGATAGATGAGCATGATGTCAGCCCTAAAAGTAATCCCTACCTTTAATAAATTATCAAATTTCATCAAGTCTCAGATGACATAATATAAAATACACCATTCTTTTATGTACTTTTAAGAAAAAAAAAACTGCTGAAGATGGTCAGTCTACTAGATGATCCCAGCATCAAACTGGGACACCAAATGACTCAGGACTAGACTAAAGGAGAAATAAACTCTTATTCAGATGATAATAGCAAGGAAAATTGTCTGTTTCAATCATAATCATGTCTGGTTAGAAAGAGATTAAAAAATACTCCTTGAACTACAAGGTGGTATTTATGAAGATTTACTTTCCGAATTCACACGAACAGAATGGACCCAAATTTCGGACAGAGACTTTAATTTAAAGAGGTATCATATCAGTAGGATCCCACATATCTGTCAGAAGTAAGAAAGAATTTCTCCTAGAAAAAAGCAACTTCAACTCAGATCAAGAACAATTGTAAGACACATTCTGATATCAGAGATATTAAAGTATAAAGAAGTGTGCGTCTTAGAATCAAATACTTGCAGTATTAACTTCTATGATTTTTATAAACCCTTTTTGAATATTTTCACTGGAGATAGTCATCATGACACTTGTCTTCTGCTGAGGAAAAAAGTCTAATTATTCATATTATATGTGTGCAAGGCAAATGCACAGATAACATGAATAAGAAGAGGTTTGAAATAGCTTGCGTATCATTATTCTCCATTGAAGTCTTTAAGTATGTCATCAGAGATCACCTGTTCATACACCTACAATTTAACTGTTACAAACTAAGATTTTTTTAAAAGCTTGCTGCATTTTTTATTCCAAAAGTTATAAGGATCACATACCATTAAAATACAGGATGGTATTTTCATTATTGTTTATGGAAGGTTTCTGCTTCAGCAAATGGGTGTTTTCCATCTCCCATCATATCTCTTGGGGAAAAGTAAATGAAACATTAAAGTCCATGTTTCCTGATTTTTTAAAGTAAACATTCCTATGGTAATTTTGCTCTGGCATAGAGATTATTTGTGCTTTCTTTTGTAATGCATTTGCTATAAAATCATGAAAATAAAACATACCAGATGTTCAGTATAAACTAAATAAATATTACAGTAGATATCTTCATATTGGTATTGCTTTTTAAGTAAATGAGTTTCAGCCTGCCCTATACGAAGCATATTACCCATGACATCACAAGACATCAAGTACAGTGTTCAATGTAACTATTCAAGTGGCTTCAAAGTTAACTTTGAAGCCACACAGCAAATTTTATTATCATATTTCAAATTAATCATCTCTGAAAGTAAGATACTGGTGACTCTACTGCAAAAAATATTTATGAATAATAAAATTAAAATATATTGGCCCTATGACTGTTTAACCATTTGTATATATATTCATACCTATATCTATGTATATGTATGTGTATATATATGTATGTGTGTGTATATATATACATCCATACACATATATAGACACACACGTATATATGTACACACACACACACACACAGACTAGCCAATTTTAAGTTCACATCTTCAGGAATCTATGGATTCAGGAAAGATTAGAAACTACTTAAAACTGTAAAATTCTAAATGCTATATCCTGGTTAATAATTACTTCCCAGCACCAAAGACATCTTAATTTAGGGCATAAAACAAAGTAGTTTAAAATTAAAATTTTAGCCAGGTGAAAAATTACAAGTTTAAATTTTATTTAAGGTTTCATTGTATTTTTGTACTTGGCAAGCTACATCCACTAACTTCATATTTATTGGTCCTATTTCTAGTAAATGGGTTAAGCACACATGCATGTTCTTAACTACACATTCATGCATTCATTTGTTGGTACATGCACACATACATGCCTGCAAAAACACATTGAATATTTACATAGAATCTAATTGGTGAAAATGTCATACTAGACATTGGAAAGACATTGTACTAGGCATTACCTCAAAAAGTAAACAAAATCACTGTTATATACTTCAGTATATACTGTAGACTTTTATTTGCACTACAATATATGATATTATTAAATAGTTTGTTAGGTTTTTTTTTTTTTTTTGATGGAGTTTCGCTCTTATTGCCCAAGCTGGAGTGCAATAGCACAATCTCTGCAAAATGCAACCTCTGCGTCCCGGGTTCAGGCAATTCTTCTGCCTCAGCCTCCCAAGTAGCTGGGATTACAGGCATGCACTACCATGCCCAGCTAATTTTGTATTTTTCTTTTTCTAGTAGAGATGGAGTTTCATCACGTTGGTCAGGCTGGTTTTGAACTCCTGACCTCAGGTGATCCACCCTCCTCAGCCTCCCAAAGTGCTGGAGTTACAGGTGTGAAACACCACGCCTGCCTGTTAGCCATCTTAATGCTCAGGTTCAAAATATACATGAATGTTAAGAATGAATGAATTTTTTTGTTTTCATTTTATAAATTTTTAAATAGTTTATGTATTTTCAAGAGATATTGACTCATCTTTGAAATGTTTTCCAGCCACTGGAAGTTAAATTAGTCTTTTCTACTGATAGAGCATCTATTGTATTTCTGCAGAAAATCATGTAGAGTCCAATGAGAAAAATCTAAGTAATGCTGTTTATACTTTAAGTTAGGCATTGCTACAGTATTCTGTGTTACCAAGAGTTTATGGGCAACATTTCCTTTCCTCCTATTCTTGACCTTTGACACTGAGTATTATTGAGAGAAATACTAAAATTATAATAAAAACCACTGGAATTTTATTTGTCTTTATGTGGTACAGCAACTAACTGTATTTGCTAAATAACCTAAATAAATATGTAAAATAATTGGCATTCATTTACCCATCTCCTAAATTATGTTTTAGTTTTACATGTATTATTTACAAATTAAACTTACAATAAAGTAGAACATCAAAATTGATAACAAATCAAAATTGAATGAATATGGTTCACAACCTCATCCATCTCTGTCTTCTCTACATAACATCAAATTTCCTAAGATGGTTGCATTATTAACATTTCAATCTTGCGAGACATTTATGGGGTTAAAATGGAGAGTGAATAAATAGAAAGCTGAAATGTGATGCCTTCTGTTTCTGCTATATTGGAAGAGAATCAAATGCTAAATAAGGCCTTTAGCAACATGATATTTCTGGTCAAATGATGGATATCATGACTTTTTTGTTGTTACAAAAGGAAGCAATTTATTTAACTATTTTCTTTCCTCCCATTCTTTCTGGTTTATTAGCTTCATTTCATTTCCATAAATTATCCCACTAAAAGAGGAAATGATTAATTGAAGATTGCTTCCTTAAAAACATTATTTCTTGTCATTAACAGCTGCAACATATTGAAACATTGTGTTATCCAAACACACTGTGGTGCTTTTAAAATAATTTTAATGTTTTGTTGCTCTCAATTATTTTGTTCTAACCATTCAGATGGTTGAACCCGTGGGGAATCATTATGCCAATTTAACAAGGATACCCTTCTTTTCTACTCGCAATTTTCATGACAAAAGTTTGTATGCAAAACAGTTGCTTTCTAAGTGTGAAATTTATTTAGAAATGATTTAAAATGAGATTGCTTTCTTTCTGGAAGCCCACAAAATTATCTATTACATGACATCCTTTAGTGATATAGGTATCCTTGGAGATGTGAGAAGATACTCATATGACTTCTCAGTTCTCTTTCTCTTCTTATTATTCCCTATTTGGAATTTTTGATTTTGGAGTAGACATGATTAGTCATCATTATCTCCCACCCTCTCTCAAGTCAATTTTTATAACATTATTAAACTTAACAAATTTAGAATATTTGAAATGCTTACATCCTCCAGCAGTTCAATAAAGTATTCCATCATAATCAGGGTTATAAACTCTATTTTCTTTTTGATTGATTAAACTTTTATTCATTTCTTTTATATAATTATGATAACTCTATGTCTTGAGGATGTCAAAGTTACATGAGATTTCAGGTTTTAAATTCAATGTGTTACCTGGATTTGCCATTTAGCAAACATCAGCTAAGCGTTTACGATTACCATTCTGCCAGGATTATGAATACACAGTGTGGTGGGCCAGGGGAATAAACCAGATTAAAAATAATTGTAACAAATATAACTACACATACTCTAAGGAGATAACTAAAAAGAGATTTTTTTTGGCAATATAGAAGAGGAAATATTTCTTTGATGGTTGTAGGGGAGTAGGATTCACATTGAGGAGTGTAATTTGTCTTCATTTGGATTCTCAATAAAGGATTTTAAGATTTAATTAGCAGTTGAATCTATCATAATAGCAGTAATAATGATGTCACCTGACATGTTTATGACTATTGCTGTGCCCAGATATTGTGCTAAGACTTTTGTACAAGTATATTTTAAGAACAACAATAGAAAGGGTTATAAAAGACTGGTGCAGTGGCTCATGCCTGTAATCCCAGCACCTTGGGAGGCTGAGGCAGGCGGATCACCTGAGATCAGGAGTTTGAGACAAGCCTGGCCAACATGGTAAAACCCTATCTCTACTAAAAATATAAAAATTAGCCAGCTGTGGTGGCAGGCACCTGTAATCCCAGCTACTCTGGAGGCTGAGGCAGGAGAATTGTTTGAACCTGGGAGGCGGAGGTTGCAGTGAGCCGAGATCGTGCCACTGCACTCCAGCCTGGGTGAGAGAGTGAGACTCTTTCTCCAAAAAAAAAAAAAAAAAAAAAAAGGAAAGAAAAGAAAAGAAACAAAGAAAAAAAAGGGTTATAAAAATATTTCACTGTCTAAAATTTGCTAAATGACCTATCTAACATATAAAAGATGAGTTGCAATTGTTTGGTAAAAATAAAGATAAGATAAAAATAACAACAATGTCACACACATAGAGCAAGAAGACTGAGAGAGAACAAAGACAGACATGCGGCAAGAATATTTACCAAGAAGTTATAAGGGTAAGACATACATTTGTCTAACTGCTTTTTTTCAGTCAATGTAGATGGAAGTATGATCACAAAGTCCATTTCAAAATAAAAGAATCTGTTGTTCACGAGAATCTCAATAATTTCTAGAAAGTAAAACCAGAAAGAAAAATTTTCCAAAAGTAAACATAGAGTAAACACTGTAATGCAATCAATATCATATCAAAAATATTGTGACATCAATACAGTGAATAAGGGAGAATTGACAAAGGTCTCACTCAGCATAGGGTGGGAACACCCTGCCAAAACCAATTTAATAAAATCAACTGTCCGATGTGATTAACATGGTGTGTTCCTTGTAAACTGCTCTCAGATCAACTGGTTTAATCCAGAAAAAGATTTTATATCACTCTTATCCTCAATATATAAGATTTCATATCTTTCAGAAAATATGTACTCACCAATATTTCCTTAGTTGAGTTTTTGTTTATATTGGATAACCATGAATTAAATATTATACTCTCTGAAAAGTACCTAGAGTAGAGCTATACTGTGCTGCCATTTATATGTACGGCTGTTTGCTTTAATAAAGAATCAAATTGATAGCATGCAGTAGGGGGACTATAGCAAATAATAAAGTAGTATATATTTCAAAATAGCTAGAGGATTTTACATGTCACCACAAAGAAATGATAAATGTTTAAAGTGATGGATAAGGTAATTACCCTGATTTGATCATTATACAATGTATACATGTATTGAAATATCACACTGTACCCTATAAATATGTACATATATTATGTGCCAATTATAAACAAAACAAAATTTTTAAAATTGATAGTTTTTTGTTTGTTTGTTTTGAGACTGAGTCTTGCTCTGTCACCCAGGCTAGAGTGCAATGGGTCGATCTTGGCTCACTGCAACCTCCGCTTCCCAGATTCAAGCGCTTCTCCTGCCTCAGCCTCCAGAGTAGCTGGGATTGTAGGTACCCGCCATTATGCCCCACTAATTTTTTGTATTTTTGTAGAAATGGGGTTTCACCATGTTGGCCAGGCCGTTCTTGAACCCTAGACCTCAAGTGATCCGTCCACCTCAGCCTTCCAAAGTGCTGGGATTACAGGCGTGAGCCACCATGCCCGGCAAAATTGACAGTATGTTTGACATCCCAAGAAAAAGTGAAGAACTTAATAAGGTTATAAGATAGGAACCGAAATATTATTTCTGTTCGTACTTTTTTCTGGAGCTGGGGAGAGAAGGGGGCTGGAGGGAGATAGAACACATTGTTAATGGATTTCTAATGTTTCCTATATTGTACAAAATTTATGCCAGTGGTTGCGGTAGAGCACTCAGGAAATGGAAAGGATATTTATTGAATGCCTTCTAATTATTATTTTAAAATATTGATTAGGTATCTGTTTATAAGATGTCAGGTTAGGGGAAATTAACAGAAAATTTTTTACTTCTGAACACCCAAATAGATGGGTGCTTGGCTGAGGCCATTTTAAATAAAAGTTCTGTTCCTAAGTCAGAAGCTGCTGATGGTAGAAACATCCTGTGGCAGAAGACTTAATAGAAATAACTGTATCCAATAAAAATTTACTTTTGGCCGGGCGCGGTGGCTCATGCCTGTAATCCCAGCACTTTGAGAGGCCGAGGCGGGCGAATCACCTGAGGTCGGGAGTTCAAGACCAGCCTAACCAACATGGAGAAACCCTGTCTCTACTAAAAATACAAAATTAGCTGGGCGTGGTGGCGCATGCCTGTAATCCCAGCTACTAGGGAGTCTGAGGCAGGAGAATCGCTTGAACCCGGGAGGCGGAGGTTGCCGTGAGCCGAGATCACGCCATTGCACTCCAGCCTGGGCAACAATAGGGAAACTCCGTCTCAAAAAAAAAAAGAAAAAAAATTTACTTTTAATAATTATTGCTGATCGCAGCAGAACCTAACAAAATATAAAATAGGAGAATCTTAAACCAAAGAAATACAATAGTATCGCTGTATCTTGATCGTGATTGATAGTTAACATGACAGGGCTTTTAGCCTCACCGGTCACTAGCTGGATGATTCTGTTTCTTTTTGTTGGACAAAAAGGGGAAAGAAAGGGTAAACTTGGGAAATAATGAGACTTTGAGGTACTGGCAAGAGTAGTTATCAAAGCAAACTTACTAAGGGCACCAAGCTCATAAACCAAATTAACCTATTGTGGTTCTTGCCTTATTTAGGTGAGAAAGTACCTGAATATCAGAATGTTTCTTGAAGAGAGTGAAATATTAGTATATTAAACTAAAAACAATTTGTTATCATAATTGCTAAATCAAACACCATCTTATAGTCTATAAGTCTATAAGACTATAGTCTATAGTCTAGATTCCACTATGAAGAAGTAGCAGATCAAATGAAATAATTTTTTAATAAAAGAATATTTTCTATTGAAAGAACTATTTTTACATGTTTTCTGGTACATTGGAAAAAGCTTGCCACCACCAGAGGATGTCCTGAAGAGGAAATGAAAACTGAGCAGTTACCTAGAACTACAAGAAAGATTACCAGAAAATTATCTCTGTGGACTAACTAGAATGATTAAATTAGTTAGAAAGAAGACAACTAAGTGATTTTTTTTTAATGCACCCATTGGTGGCTGGGCGCGGTGGCTCACACCTGTAATCCCAGCACTTTGGGAGGCTGAGGTGGGCGGATCACGAGGTCAGGAGATCGAGACCATCCTGGCTAACACGTTGAAACCCTGCCTCTATTAAAATACGAAAAACTAGCTGGGCGTGGTGGCAGGCACCTGTAGTCCCAGCTACTTGGGAGGCTGAGGCAGGAGAATGGCATGAACCCGGGAGGCGGAGCTTGCAGTGAGCCGAGATCGCACCACTGAACTCCAGCCTGGGAGACAGAGTAAGACTCCGTCTCAAAAAAAAAAAAAAAAAAAAAAAAAAAAAAAATATATATATATATATATATATATATATATATATATATATGCACCCATTGGTGTTACATTGGTATTGAAACACTTTTATTTTCTATTATACTAGTTACGTGACTCCTCTTATCTGAGTCAATTAATGTATTGAAGGATTTATATGAAATTCTATCTTTGAGAGTAGTAATTTATACCATAGTTTTCTTTAGTAGCTTTAGCAGATTATGCAAGAGACAAGTCAGTTGCAGTTATAAATTTCTACCTGGGAAAATAGACCTAGGAGACATGGCTGTTGATAAAGGAGATGCTGGCAGATCACTGGGTTGTTTGTTTCTAAATCCAGTGGATTTTTCTATATTTTGATGTCATATATAATTCATTCATATATAGAGATTGAATGAAAGGTCTCCTCCTAAAAGTATTTCTTAATAAAGAAAAGTTTAAACGGGCCGGACGCGGTGGCTCATGCCTGTAATCCCAGCACTTTGGGAGGCCGAGGCGGGCGGATCACGAGGTCAGGAGATCGGGACCATGCTGGCTAAAATGGCGAAACCCCATCTCTACTAAAAATACAAAAAAAAAAAAATACAAAAAAGTTTAAATCACAGAACAGTTAGAAAAAAAAGTATTCAATGTAAATAGCATTAACTTCTGTGACAATGCATTCTAATTATTCAGGTAGCTCCTGAATTACAGATTTTCCAGCCCCTGTTGGCCATAGCAATTAAATTCACCTGTATCCCAGGAAGCAGCTATCTTACAAATGAGTATAGCAACATGTTCCATATGCATTCAATTCAAGACGCACTAATAATCTCAGAGGGGAAAAAAAAACAGCCTATACAATATAGATATTGGCACATGAAGATATGCATGTCCAATTTTTTTTAAATGTGACTTGGAATCAGTTAAATATTATTTCTTTACATTGCAATCATTTCTGATTTATTTTCCTATTTCCAGGGCATTGATCTTTTCAATAAGAGACAGATAATTCCCAATATTGGAAGAGTTTTGTTTCACACCTAGGGCATTTGAGAAACAGGCACTGAGGTTGACACCTCTGTAGACAGCAATTGAAGGTAGAAGGTGGAATGAAGTAGGTAGGGTATGATGAGGGTAGGAGATGATAGACACAGGCCTTGTACAGGGATTGTATGGGAGTAGCATTTTTGAAGGCTTTAAACCTAGTGAGAGCAAATCATCAGCTATGACAGTCAAAGGTATTCAGTTGATTATGACAAGAGTAAAACTGTCAAAGTGATGACAAAAAAGGGGAAAACATTTTTTAAATTAAAAATCTAGCTGAGTTTGAAGTAGAGAGCAAAAATTTTTCATCTGTCTACACTGTCAGCTTTCTGTGCATGTAAAACATATTTATTATTTTCTAAATTAATTTAATGAGTTTCAGATTGTACAGGATGTCATAATGGAAACAGGATTATGCAAGATAAGAAGGAGTTTTGTTCTCTAAATGAGTTTTACCTAGACTCCCTGTGTTGTACTTTTGATCTGAGCTGTGTTTCATTTACCACATTGGAGGAGGTTACATAAAGGGTAAAATAATAGAAACTTAATCAGGAAACAGGTTTTCTTTTTGCTGCATTTTATTATGTACTTTTGCCTTATTCCATAGCCTAATTCCTGAAAATAATGAAAGATGTGTCATTTTAAAATAAGAACAATTGAAACCACATTGCATTATAACTATGCATCTGTTTTTCAAAGCCATCCCTAACTTTTCACACCAATTGATCTTCAGAACAAACTTGTAGATTATTTAGGAATTATTGGTGGATAGTATAAACTTCCTGCACTCTACCTTCTGTAAAATGCTAGATAAATATTAGTTGGCAAATTTAATTTTACAGATAAAAAATAAACACACAGGCAAAATAATTTCTCTGAAATACATCCTTGTTTCCAAAAACTTATTCCAATAACTTTTTGTGTTACAGAATAATATAATACAAACTGGCCCTATTAGTCCAAGCACAGAGTTTTGCAGTGAAAATAATTTCCTGTAGAGTATTTATCATGACATATAAAGACGTATAGTTATGCTACACACATGATTGATTTTGTAAATGTAATGCCATTTTCTGGTAGACAAATCTCCGTCTATGTTTTATATAACCCATACCAAAATGATTAGTCGATTTAGGTAGGCATTTGGGCTCTGAAACCTTACATCACTGACATTTCTGTCATCCTCAATCAATGTGAAACAACTTCCAACTTGGCAATAACTTGTCTCCTGAATTTCCAAATAAAAACTTTGGAAAGTTGAAATTACTTCTCTAATATTTTCTCATTGCATTTTCTCATCACTGGCCAGATAATCACCATGGCCACAGCCCTGAAGAGAGAATCATCTATGGTGTAGAGAATAGTAGCACATTTTTGGAATGCAGTCCGAAGTCGCAGAGAGCGCTGGTCTATTGGCAATTCCAGAGGCGAAATGAAGAGCGAAAAGAAGAGGTACAGGAATGAAACTGACTGGATCATTTATATCTAAGATACACTGTTAAATGTAATCCTTGTATTTTTCACTTGAGGAAAGAAAAAGCACTGAGAATGCTTATCCTCTTCTGAACCAATCAATCGCTCATTCATTGAACAAGTGTTTAGTGCAGACTGATGACGTGACAGACTTTGTACTATGAATTAGAGAAACAAAGGTAACCTGGTAAGAGTTTCTGCCCCAGAAGCAGTTTGGGGATACATATTAGACTCCCCTTATTTCTTACTGTGTTTATCTACAAAGAAATTGTGTTATTTATATTTGTGCACAAATAAAAAAAAACCTCCTACTAATTTTAAATTTTGTTCAATTAATTATATTATCAAAATCTGTTTTTCTTTATCCATTACCTTCCTCCTTAAATGGGGAAGGGAGGTTGGGAAAAGATAGTAGTAGATGTAGGGTGATGGATTTAAGGCTGCACTATAAGCTCTGATATCAACTATTGATGCAGGATGAGGCAGATCTCCCTGCTCATTTGATCCATTTATAATTCCATAAGAGTAAAGAATTGTATACAGAAAATCTTAGTGAGCACTACGAGCCTTTAAAACTTTTTAACAGCCTTAAATAAGCATAAACAGATTATTGAGTTGATTAATAAAATGTATTATATGCAGACGATTTTACAAACATAATATGATGTTAAAGGTAAAAACTCTTCCATTATCTTTTGACATTTTAATCAGTCTTAAAACTATATAATCCCATCATAAAATGCAAGATTGATTTCATGCATTACCAGGTGAGGCTTTTTGAGACCTCTATTGTAAACTGTATTCAAAATAAAAGTGAGGTTACAAATATTCAAAAATATGGTCTCATATATATTCCCATTCAAGACCAACTAAATGAAATAAATAATTAGTAAGCATGAAATGTTCTGCTTGTTCAACTTCTATTTTTTTAAAATTTAATTTTTGGAAATCTTATTATAAATTCATTCTAATGCCCCGTATCTTTCTAGTATCATGGTTCTGTAGTTCTAATTTCAATATTTAATGTTAACTTTATCCTATATTTATATACCTACTTTCAAATGTATAAAGTATCTTTGCTCTTTCCTCCAGTTACCTTGAATATTTTAAATTATTATAAGAAATTCTATTAAAACAGTAATATAACCAATACTTTCCAATACATCTTAAAAACAATTGACAGATATTATAATTCTCCTAATGGGAAAATGCTATCACTTCTCTTAAATTAAAAATTTTTATTAACTGTTAAAATGTGCCTCAACACATAATCTAAAGTTTTACAGACACGGAGTTTCAGAGCTTCTATTTCTTTTAAATATGTATATTTTACACTGCCTTTTTTTTAACCTGCTAGATCAGAGTGGATGATCATATCATCAGGACAGATCAAGGCCTTCTGCTACGTAGTCTACAACAGAAGGATTCAGGCAATTACCTCTGCCATGCGGTGGAACATGGGTTCATACAAACTCTTCTTAAGGTAACCCTGGAAGTCATTGACACAGAGCATTTGGAAGAACTTCTTCATAAAGATGATGATGGAGATGGCTCTAAGACCAAAGAAATGTCCAATAGCATGACACCTAGCCAGAAGGTCTGGTACAGAGACTTCATGCAGCTCATCAACCACCCCAATCTCAACACAATGGATGAGTTCTGTGAACAAGTTTGGAAAAGGGACCGAAAACAACGTCGGCAAAGGCCAGGACATACCCCAGGGAACAGTAACAAATGGAAGCACTTACAAGAAAATAAGAAAGGTAGAAACAGGAGGACCCACGAATTTGAGAGGGCACCCAGGAGTGTCTGAGCTGCATTACCTCTAGAAACCTCAAACAAGTAGAAACTTGCCTAGACAATAACTGGAAAAACAAATGCAATATACATGAACTTTTTTCATGGCATTATGTGGATGTTTACAATGGTGGGAAATTCAGCTGAGTTCCACCAATTATAAATTAAATCCATGAGTAACTTTCCTAATAGGCTTTTTTTCCTAATACCACCACCTAACAGAGAACACAGGTGAATGCAGATGTTCACTTTAGCAGACTTAATGTTTCCTATGAGATTTCACTGTACAGGTTTGTCTTTCTTCTTTGCCTGAGAAATAAAAATGTCATTTGCCATATTGCCATCTAAAGGAGAAAAACTGCATCAGCAAAGCCATTGTATTGAACTAAAAGTTTAAAATGAACTGCATGGATTTACTAAGCTGATGAATATTCCAAAACGTGGTTGGATTCAAGGATATATTTTGTCTACCGGCCCTCATGTTTGTATGTACTTGAGGAGTAAAATGAGTAAAATGATACTGAATGAAATGTTCTGTGGAAATATTAAAAAAAAAAAAAAACATAAGCCATCCATCATCCAGAAGAAAAATGGAATACACTGATCTACTACTGATGTCTTCTTTCAGCTTTGATCTAAAGATGTATTTTATTAAAACTATAATTTAAATGTACCATGAAAAATATGCAGTAAAAATTAGTTGTTTTCTAAGCTAGAGTAGGATTTGTCTTACAATTATTGTGCTATGTAGTTTTTGTTTTAAAAATTCCAATGGTGTGCTGCTTTCTTTGGACATTTTATTTTCAATTCTATAAGAGGGATAGATGACATTGTTCTAGAAACACATATACATCATTAAGAGTGAATCTCTAAAACCAGGATATAAATTATGCTTTATTTCTCTGAGAAAATCAAACAAATGGAAGCTGTTCACACCTCCCCTTCTTTAAGCATTATCTAAATTAATTTTTACTTGCATAATGTTCTTAGAAAAAAAAACAGAACATTTAAGCAGGAAAAAAGGAAGAAACAAGTTGATTTTTAAGTGCATTTTACTATAATGAATCAATGAAGGGAAAAGGAACTGCATATTTCATGAAAATAATAAGCATTGTCTTAATATACTGTTAATAGAAAATGTGTCTTAATTCCGTGCTTGAATCCCTGCATGATATTTGAGACTAAGATCTCTCTTATGATTCTACCAAGAATTATATCTGTGTCACTTAATTTTTTTAAAAGAGAGAGATCAATAACTATTCAGAGCAACATGTTAAAGGCAAAGTTTCCAATCATTTACATCTGTATCAGGTGCCTCTTACCTTTCCTTATTTAAGACAATTATTTGTACAAGAAACACATGACTCTTTTCATATCAATGGGAGGGACTTTTCTACAAAGTATTTTCCAGGATGCAACCCACATTTAAACAATGTAAAATTCTTTGTTTCCTGCAACAACTTACAAAATAAGGTAAAAGACTAAAATTCAAGATTTGCTTCCTTCATTGTCCTAAGACGATTCGTTGAGAATCACTGACTTTGAGATATTTAAAACTTTCAGCATTATACTGTGGTTTCTTTTGCACTGCACTCACCTATTCAGGACTCCTCCCCCAGGTTCCTCATCATGCACAAAAATGCAAAGAAAACATCTTATTAGTAATTAATGAAGCAACATTGAAATTCTAACTCTAGCTGTCTTTGGATTCTAATTAACTCAGCATCAATTTCTCACCTCAGACTACAGTGAATTTTTATTTCCTATCAGCTGAAATATTTCACAGATGGAAGCTCATGTTTCAGTTTTAATGACTGCCTTGAATAAACAAGTTGTTGCCACTTGTTTCAAACAAAAGCCTAAAAATAATCTACATTCAATTTTAGGCTCCATTGACTAATATGGTGTTGCTTTTGGAAGTACTGTATATCCTCACATGGAAGCCAAATTGTTAAATTATTTGAAGGACACACCACTGTACAGAAAGTAGTGTTTCAAATATAAATCGAAGAACAAAGAGTGCTCCAAAAAATAGGTCATTCTTTTATTTTCATAAAGTATCTAAACTGTACTAACATTCAGTGTTGTGTTTCATTCTAAATTTGCAGCTGAAATAAATTTATTTGCGATAGCAGAAATATCTTATTATTCATCCTCAGAAATAAAGGATTTGAAGGGATAGAGATTATATGATAAATTTATAGAAGACTTTCAGAATTTGAATGCATTTTGTTTAGTGTTATGAAATGACAATAGAAAAAAGTCTCGACTTCAATTAAAAGTTACACAAACAAACAAATCTACAGGCATGTCTTTATATACCATCAGGTCTAAGTTTTCAAAGAAAATTGTAGATATAACTTGCAGATAACTCATTACAGTCATAATCTCTGCCCATGTGTATTGAGAGGGGGCAGTTTGCACGAAAAAGAATTATTGGCCCATTTAATAATTCAGCTTTAAATAGACTTTGTCATATGCATGAATCATCAGAGATGAAACTGTTTGAGAGACTCATGTGACCTTACGAAAATTACAACAGCAGTCTTAAAGTATGAAAAAGATGCATCACAGCAGAGACATTATGGCCCAGTTGATATCAAATGTAAAATGTAAATGCATGTAAATGCACACTTCATTTTATGTATTATTTAGTAATTTGCAGTGGTATGTGTTTAATATTTTTGCTACCTACACATTAGGCAAAAAAAAGATGTAAATAATTTGGGAGAAAAAGAGGAAGAACAGTGTAAAATAAAACTTTCTATAAGTACTCCATTTCAATGTGTTCAACATCATCCTAAAAGGCAAGATTTTCCCACGCAGGTGACAAGGTGGTTTATGTACTATTTAAGGGCGGAAGGTGCGTGCCCGTTCAATAAGCATGTTTTTTGCCAGGTAGGAAATATGTTCCATATCTTTACTTATCATTGCATTTCAGATGGGAACTAGAAAAACTGGAGAGAAAAATGTAATGAAACTGCTGCTGTAAATTATTCCTTTTAGCATGTATTCACTTGCTAAATACACATTTCTTCAAAATATTTGAATTCAGATGTCTTTACTGTTCCCTATAACATATGGTGTTAAGGAACATAAGCTCATAAAATGTTGAGAACCAGAGTCAGGTTGCTACATAATTAGCTAACAGATTTCTTCATTGTAGTCATCTGTAAACTGGGTTCTATATTTATGGTGATGATGTGAATTTTTATGCCCTTTAAATTAAGTATTGTTCTTTTTAATGTCATACCTAAAAAGGAAATGTAGGGATAAATTTTTATAATGTGTCATTTTCATAATCAGTTTGGTTTTATTCAGGATCCACAAAGATGTCAGATGACTGTTATTGAAATTGCTTATCTTAAAGGTCACAGACAAGCATTTTATTAATATGGAGCCACTAGTATAATATGTTAAAATCTTTGTTTTATTAGCTCATTTTAAAACACAATTTCCATTCAATTTAATGAAACTGTATCAGGTTTCATGGTTTCAAAGACAGACTTAAATAGGATTCAACACCCCCGTATCGTGTAATAACATGTTAAACTGGTCTAACACCAAGGACATCTATACTTTTAACTTGATTTGTAATAATTATTTGAAGTCAATGTTAATGTTTGCAAATACATGTTTCCATAAAGAAGAAAACATTATTTTTCAAAAATCTGTAAAATCTCATTAGTTTGTTTGATCTCTAAAAATTTTCTTAAACTAGTTAATTAAATGAACATAATTTTTCAAGTTAATAAATTAAGAAAATATCTAAATGAAAGAGAGAATAAAATCAGCATATGTGACAGCCCATATAGTAAGGACAGTTTCGCAATCAACGTAACCAAGGAAAACAGCTTTGTTATCATTTCAAACATGCAGGCACACACAGGCAGAGGCAAAGCTGGAACCAAACCAAACAAAAAGAAGATTTTGAATATTAAAAAACTGGGCCTCTAGACACTTTGCCTTTTAGAACCAGCTTCCTACACGTTCAAGTAAATTCCACTGATAGATCTTGACTATCTACAATGTGCTAGGTATTATGTTAGGTGATGAGGACACTAAAGTGAATAAGACATAACCCTTGTTCTCAAAGAGCTCACAATGAAATTAAGGAAACAGAGCGAGATGACTTATCATCATCTAATCCAGCAAGTCTTTCCTAATCCTCCCATCCCTAGTTCAAGCTAGGGACCTTCTCTATGCTAAACCTGTGCCTTGTATATACCTTTTATTGTCACACTACCCCAATGTGTGATTTATTTGTTTATGTTTCCATCTCCATTTCTAGACTGTGAGCTCCTTGAGGGCAGGATTTGTATCTAATTGATCTCTGTCCCCAGTGTCTAGCATGATGCCTGGCACAAAGAGGGAGCCCAATAAATCACTGTTGAAAAGAACCAAGTTACGATATGACAATTGCCAAATACAAGCTCACAATAAGAGCGGTATGGATCAAAGAAAAAAAAAAGGAGGAATTAACTTGTGGAGAGAGATCATGGGGTGCTTCAGAGAATAAGTGACTTTCCAGCTGTGAATCAGTCAGATATGCCTAGATGAAGAAACAAAATGGCAATCTGAGTAGAAGAAATAAGGAGAAAGGAGGAGAGGTGTGAAAAAAAGTCCTTTTTCTGAGAACAAGCATTCAAACAGATAAAACACAGGTTTCATAAAGAAAAGTTAAATGTCCCACTACTATGAGTCAAAATGGTGCATTTGCTTTTTCCTGGGTTTTGATTTATTGCCCTCTGTTTGTACCCCACATTCGCATCCTTGGCACAGACTGTCATATGTCACACATTCAGCCTCCTACACTTCCACCCCACAATCTCTTTACCTTCCTTCTTAATGTTCACCTCATTTATCTTTACTCAGCTAAAGTCATAGCACTAGACAGTGTTCCCACAACCGTCTTCAAACTCATCTGTATTTCATAATCTCTCCTCTAGTTCAAACCAGCACAGGTCAGCTGAAACTCTGAATTCTACAAATAAATATTTAGAGGAAGCTAACTTCATCAGACACTCCCCTATGCTCTCAGTTCAAACGAAAGTTTCTGTTACATTTCACCTACCTACAGCCTTACCTCACTCAGCTAGCATTAGACTACTCAGCAATGAGTTCCAACATTGCCTTGCTAAAAAGCAAGGTGGCTCACAAACAAGACTTCAGCAAAGATAGCATTAAAATGTGAAGTCTGCATTTGTTCAAGGCATACCTTAGATGGAGTAATTCATGGCCAAGCAATGCTGCAGGTGTGGTCAGCACATGTAGTTGATAGGCAGACTCCTATTATTTTAAACAAACAAACCAAAAAAGTTTTTTAAAAAATGAGACCCACCTTCATCTTGAATATGTCAACCCCGCACCACCGTTGTATTAATCTGTCATGTTTTTCTCATATAACAAAAGAATGGATTTTCTTTCTTTTAATCTAAACACTATACTTGTATATACAATGTTTATTTATATAGGACCTAAGCAAAAGTTTTTATAGATGTGTTCATGTCATCACAATTCAGGTAATGTGAAGGCTCAACTTCCGTCTTCTCTCTTTGTAAATCTCACTGAAGCATTAGATCTCAAGTAAATACATTTGTAAAATATCCATGTCATTTGTGTAGCTCAGTTCTTAATGTTTTGTTTGTTTTGTTGATAACTAATTCCAGAGAAGCTTAAACATTTTTAGACAAAGTTTTCATCTAAAATCAAACAGCCACATCAGGAATTTTTTAAATACACCACAATTTTTAGGGATTTTCATCCTTCAAAAAAGATTGACAGTTTTATTAGCCCTCAAATATTTGTATTTTACTCATGCAGTATTTTAAATTGCTGATAAATGTGAAAAACTCAGTTTAAGTCTGGGTCTGTGTATGCCATTCAATATATTCCATTTAAATTTAGATACTGATGAATAATGGTCTAGCTAAGTATCCAATTTGCATTGTTGCCATCTACTAATTTCAGAATCATTGCTCATTTTCTTCCTTGCAGAACTTTTGACCCTAATAGCATGCCTGTTGAAATTATTTTTATTGTATTTGCCTTCAGAAGTGGTTTGAATTATTACCCAATGAATATTAGCATCACAAAAATAATCTGTTATCCATATGGAAAAGAATACTGTCAAGGAGTTTATTGAATTCTTTAAATATTTACTCAAAACATAAGAGAATACTTATCCCAGGATTATTCTATTTTGATCAAAACAATTATGTAGTCATTAGTCATTAACTTTAGAAACATTACATTGTTTGGGTTTCTTCTTTAACTTCCTGACCCCTCTAGAATCCAAAACAAAAACAAACAAACAAAAAATCAACAAGTACTCTAGATGGCAAAATCACTTATCATTCAAAAGGTAGCATGTCCTCTTCCCCTCAGTGAAGATTGGAATGTAATTTGCAACTGTGACCATACTGGTCTTCTTCTTCTAATCTCCTCTTGGTCCTGAGACAATGTTTCTAAAAATTATGTCATATCAGGAAGCTCTATATTCATTATTGAGAAGTAATATTCTTGAACTTCTAGAAGGAAATATTTATATAATTTATAAAATGTATATCAATAAGCCCAAAGCAGAAACTCTTTGTAATACACTGCACTGTATTAATTTTAATTCAATAATATAATATTAAATAAAAACATAAGCAGACGTATGGAAGCATTAATACATCCTAAACTGCTAAAGTTACTGCCTGGTGCTAGTAACGTTACATTTTTTATATTCATTGTGTTTTTAGATATTATATTCACTACGTATTTTTATATTAATTGTGTTTTTAGATATTATAGTCTAAATATTTTTATGATATCACGTGGGCCTTTTCATATGAAGTAGGACACACAGCCTGAGGATCTGGCACAACATACTGTACTTGAGTTTTCTATGGTGAGTGAGAATTAGCCTTTGACTTTGAGAAACTCACAATCTATTGAAGAACAGGAAACACAACATTTAACATGATGTGTCATACAATGGATATAGTAATAGTCGTAGTAGTCATATTAGTAATGATAGTAATATCAAGTGTTTACAACATACTGTTTTCTTTATCAAGTGCTTTATTTGTATTACTTTAATTATTAAAACAACTCAAAAAATCCTATTTTATCCTTATTATATCAATAAAGAAACTGAAGTACAGAGTGGTTGAATAACTAACTGCTCAATTCACATGATCAAAAGCGATAGACATAAAGTTCTAATTCAAGTATGATTTACGATTACCTGTGTTTCCAGAAAGATAACTAGTTAATGTAAATATAATTTAAGATGCCATGCTGTATGGAAATAGAGAAAAAGGATGTCAAAGACTCTTAGAAAATGAAGAAGAGAATGGTGAATGAGTTGACCTAGAAATAAGGGAACATCTCTTTCACTAAGAGAGGAGAGACAATCAAATAGGAAATCAGCAGCACAGTTAAAAACAGGTTTTGGAGACCTGCAAACCTGGGTTGAATACCTGCTATACCCATGTACTTAGTGGTGTCTTTGAGTATTGATTTATTTCTACTTCTCTGGGCCTCAGTTCTCCCCTGTATAAGATTTTAATATATCAGTTCTTCCATCTATATGAGATAAATGATAGAAAACGTATTCACAGAATTGGGGTAATAGTTAACATTGACATATAATGTTTACTGCTAACACTAATTATTTACTCACTTTTCTTGATTTCCGTCCTGATAATGATGAGAACATGATGTTCTTTCTCATTTCCAAATAAAATGTTTTTTATTATATCTATTACCACCTTCTGTAGATCTTTAGCCCTCTACTTTCTGTCATTAATTTCTCTTGCTTCCCATTTTAAAGTAGTAGTTGTACAAAATAGCAATAATCTCCCTTGGCCATGTCTTTCATGTGAGCACTTTTCTACATCTTACCTTTGCCCATAAAAATTTGCAAAAGAAATTCTAAATGACTCCTAATCAAAGATAACAGATGTTTGACTTTTTATTCTCTAAAAAAACACTACATTAAGATATCAGCACTTTTAATTTCCAACCATGTTAACTTTTCATTGCAAATTTTGGGGCTACTGTCTGCCATCATGATCTCTAAGAATGCATTTTAGAGTAAATTAGTCAATTTTTTTTTTTTTTTTTTGAGATGGAGTCTCACTCTGTCGCCCAGGCTGGAGTGCAGTGGCAAGATCTTGGCTTACTGTAAGCTCCGCCTCCCGGGTTCGCGCCATTCTCCTGCCTCAGACTCCCGAGTAGCTGGGACTACAGGTGCCCGCCACCACGCCGGGCTAATTTTTTGTATTTTTAGTAGAGACGGGGGTTCACCGTGTTAGCCATGATGGTCTCGATCTCCTGACCTCGTGATCTGCCCGCCTCGGCCTCCCAAAGTGCTGGGATTACAGGCGTGAGCCACCGCGCCCGGCCAATTATTTTTTACTAAGTAATCACCTGTTTAATTCTTTTAATATACAGTTTTCAAAGTTAGCATTTTCCAGCTCGAAAAGGAGACAGTTTTCTATGCATTACCTAATAAAATGTCTTCCAGAAGACAAAATGATTATTTTTATATAGACTCAATGAAATAAACTATATGATATTAAGCGTGTTTTCATATATGAAAAGGTTTGAGACACAGTCTAAGCAATTGCAAGTGCTGATGAACTTTCAAAAATAAAATCAAACTTAAAAAATATATATTGCTGAAAAAATTCTATGTATTGTAATAATATATAATTCACAGGAAGACAATGTGAGCAGAGGCATTTATTCATGGTCTCTAAAGAACACATGAAAAGACCACTACCATAATTCACACCTAAAAAGATGATAATTTATGCAAAATCATTCCCTTTAAAAAGTAGAGATGAAAAGAGACGTGACACCTCAAAACCCTGCCAAGCTAGGGATAAACATAAGAAATAAACCATATGTGTTGTGGGAGGCAAATCCACAAAGAAACTGTTAGGCAAAAATAAAACCAAACTATGACATGATCCAGATGTTCACTAATATAAAGGCCTCAGCAAAATCTGATGGACTTCAAGGTCTGGTAGGAAAGGATAAAAGTTCCAAAAGTTCCAAATGTGTGAACACTGATTGGCTTCAATTATTTGGTAATCTTTTTTAAATAATTGCTTTTGTTTGAAGTATTGTCGTCTTTAAGCTTTAACTATTTTGGAAATTGATAAAAAGCAGCACAAAAAGATGAAACAAAAGTGCAGGCTTTGAAGTACAATCATTTTGTTCATAGTAACTTCAAGAGACCATTTGGGCTGGCCCCCAGAAAAGACAATTGTATACATTAGAGTTTAGACAATCTGGAAGGGAGAAAAAGGGTAAGGCCTGTACACAAATATTTTATACTGTCCATAACTTGAAAGAGAATTAATTAAAAAACCCAATAGGCTATACTAAGTGTGTATAAATATAGTCATGGTAGATAGCACTGAGTATAATTTTCAGATAAAATTTGAACTAAGATTTCTTTTATGCATTGAGTACAGATGCACCATTTATACATATCTAGTTCTAGGCATATCTAAATTTCTGAGTGCTTCTTAGCAGTCGTCTTATGTTTAAATGTCTTTCATTGAATACAACACAGTTCAGTTTATATACTCAACTTTCATTTATTAGTCACATGATGCTAAAATATTTAATACAATATTAGGAGATTGAATTGGAAAGTGCTCAAAAACTTTAGAAAATGAAGACATAATGAGCCAGAAAAATCTCAATGCTGGGAGGGTTGAAAGAGAGAATAGGGGCTCAAAAAAGCAAGGAAAGAAAATGCATTGATTTTAAAAGGAAGTAACAGCATAAAAAGAACAAAGATATCATCTCTTTTATTAACAGTGCAAATGCTTGGGTTACTGTCTTGTTCCTTTTTTATCCTTATGCAGATCCTAATCTTATGTGCTATTGATCTCTCTTTAGATTGTCTAACATGGGTAACCATCCACTAAGTCCAGCATACTCAAAACATGTGACCAAAGTGTGGAATATGGACATTTCTGTCACCTGGGAGTTCATGAGAAATACGGATACATAAGACCCACACGAGACCTACAGAATCAAAATCAACATTTTAGTCAATTCGCAGGTGATTTGTGTGCACAACAATGCTTGAGCCCAGTGCTTTTAACTCCCAGGCCACAGTGTGGTACCAGTCCATGGCCTGTTAGGAATGGGCCACACAGTAGGAGGTGAGTGATGGAGGAGCCAGCATTACCACCTGAGCTCCATCTCCTGTCAGATTAGCAGTGGCACTGGATTCTCATAGGAGCATGGACCCTGCTGAGAACTGTGGATGCCAGGGATCCAGGTTGGGTGCTCACTGTTGGAACCTAACTAATGCCTGATGATCTGAGGTGGAAGAGTTTCATCCCGAAATCATTCCCAACACCCCCGTCTGTGGAAAAACTGTCTTCCACAAAACCAGTCCCTGATGCCAAAAGGTTGGAAACCACTGCTTAATTGAGTGATTCATACAAATTTGTATCTCACTCTTTCAGGGGCACAAATTTGGAGTGTTCTTACCCAATGATTTGTCAGGATTTCACTGGCCCAGTGGCTCCACTCAGGCTTTCTCCTGTCTGAGTTCTAAGAAGGCTTACCTGCTTCCAAGGTTTGCTGGCCTTAGGGGTGAGGATCAGATACTAAGATGTAAGGGCCCTAAAACATCAGGTTAAAATTACTTAGTGTGCTGATGAAAATATTAAATATTTCAGAGTTGCCGTGATGAAAGTCATTAGAAAGTATTTGTGTTCTAAGTAATATTTACTCAGCAATGATATAGGGTAAATTGGGGGTAGGAGAATTTCTACTCCTACTATTTCTACTATTCTGCTTTTCTTCTTCTTCTCCTTGTTCTTCTTCTTATTATTATTACTATTATTATTATTATTGAGACAGGGTCTGTCACCCAGGCTGGAGTGCAGTGGCGCCATCATGGCTGACTGCAGCCTCAACCTCCCCGGGCTCTGGTGATCCTCCCATCTCAGCCTCACGAATAGCTGGAACTACAGACAATGCCACCACATGCCCAGCTCATTTTTGTAGTTTTTGTAGAAATGGGGTTTCACCATGTTGGCCAGGCTGGTCTCTAACTCCTTCACTCAAGTGATCCGCCGGCCTCGGCCTCCCAAAGTGTTGTGATTATAGGCATGAGCCACTGCACCTGGCCCCTATTTAGCTTTTCAAAAGTAATGCATCCCTTATAAAAAAAATTGGTAAGAAAAGAATATGCAACACCTCAACTACAGAAATATTTTTATCCAGCTGACAACATCCTTCAGAGAGTCAGTGCATTGCAATGTAATGGTATTACTTTATAGATAATGTTATCTTCTCATTTCTTTTAGGCTTTCAGTGTAATGAAAGTACACATTTTTCTGAATTATTACAGTATTGGGCTTCATGAAGTTTGGCGGCAGTGAGAGTTGTTTGATTTCTCAAAAACTTTTTCCAGTAATTTTCATAGTATTTGTATTCTATGAAGGAAATATAGTAACTTAAATACTTCCTATAAATAGAAATACTCAAGTTACCCACTGAAAGACCTTTTAAACTAAAATATGCAACTTTAGCAAAAACAGTAATCAGAGGCTATTTCCTTAGAAAATTTTGGTGGCACTGAAACCCAATAATATATAGAGCCAATATTTAAAAATACAACCAACATTAACAATGTATTCATGCATACATGCCATATATTTTTAAGATTTATTTTTCAATTCATACTGGGTGGTCTACTACTGCTTTTTACACTACAACCAACTGATCCCAAGTTCAGGGTTATTGAAAATCATCATAAATAAAATCCATGTGTGCATTGTTTAAGTACCAGCGGATATTTACAAAGGTTTCAGTAAGTTTACCCGTTCACCGTCCTTATCAATGTCTACCATTAATTCTACAATTAAAATTTGGCAATAATGTTAAAATCACCCAATAATCTGTCCTGAAAAATTCAAGTAGGGTCATGAAAAAGTGAAATAATTTTTTTATGTTGTACTCACTGTTGCACGTCAAAGCAGCAGACACTATGTGTTTAAGAAGGCTATGAACTTCTTGGACTGTCAGTTGTCACAGATCCATACATTCTGTCAAACAGAATGTCTGTCCTTAAGAAAAGTTAAAAAAAAGTACTTATACTATTATTTGTATGAAAATTGTTTATTAAATAACAGCAGTATTATATGCCTATTAAAAATCACTTCCACAAAATCATTTAGAACTGAAGTCCTGAATGTTTTATGTCAATGAGATTTCAGGAAGCAGAGACTTTAAATTAAAGCTCAAGGGAGTTTCCAGCTATGGAGTTTGAAAAGTACGGTTTTATCTTAAGCTCTCTGTAAATCATCTTAAAATACTGCTGATTTGCTAATGTGTAACATAAGCTCCTAAATTTTTGTTGGAGAGAAGGGATAAATTGGGAGCAATGGGAATGGGAATCGGGGCAAAGTGAGGTGCGGGAAAGTTTCTAAAGAAGATACGGTGCACTAACTGAACTAACTGAGCAGTTGTTACAGGACAAAATTAAGTCACTAACAAAGAAGTGCTAGTTTAGTATCTCTCTCATCAAACATAACCATTTCATCTGTATCATTATGTGTTAGGCTTCTTAATGTGATGGTAAAAGTCATACTTTTATATTTTTATCCTAAAGAGGTAGCCCTTTAATAAAAATTTCATATAGCATTAACAGCCATATCATTAGACACAAAGCCCAGTGCCAAAGAATCCTACAATCCAAATCTCCATTGATAGCAAACAGTCCACTCTTAGGTATGCATGGATAAATGTGTTGTCCTGACACATATTTATGGGAAGTTACTTAGAACCAAGATCCTTTAGGAACTGTTTTCTTGGCCAGATGCGGTAGAGAATCCACATGCCTTCCACTCAAATCCTGTGCTGACCACCATAGAGTAGGGGCCAGTAGCTCATGACATAAATGTTATGTAAAATGGGCAAGGTTTCAATTAGTTAATGAGAAATGGTGGAAAATTGTTCAGCATGGAAGAAGAACTACGCTTTCCGGGAGACTCTGCATCCTTTTCTCTTTGGGGTTGAAGAGAGAACCACAAAGTACATAGCCAGGTCAGAGGGTGGGAACAGGAGCACTCTGACCACTTCCAGAGAGGAGGAATGTCTCTCCAGGTCAAAGCAAAAGAGCTACATATGACTGAGGGTTCAGAGTAATTACGCAAAAGTGGAAGTAAGAAGATCAGTGGGAGAAAAGATGGAAGGATAACTAACTTTACCTTTCTTCCTTTTAGAAATCTGAATTTTCAAGACAATAGTTACAGTGAAGCTACAGAAAAGATAATTTTGGGGTTTGGGTTAATCTGAAAAAAGGCATGACTTAATGGTTGGTTCAGGGAGTAGCTAATTTAGCTGGAACACAGATTCTCAAATCTTGGGTTGTTTTACCTATGTACTCTGTGTGTGTGTGTGTGTGTGTGTGTGTGTGTGTGTGTTTGAACTAATTTAAACATGTCCACATTTTAGCCCTATCTATGTATTCATATTTAAAAACAAGTCACTTGTAGGATTCTTACATTCAAAGCTAAAATTGCTGTTGGAAAGCAACACTTCTTATGATGCAAGCAGCCATTCACCTTCCTCATCTTTGCATTTTATACACCTTTGGCTTATAAAATGGATTGTAACTTCTCCTTCTCTAGGGAAGTACATTTCAGTGGTAAGAAACTCAAAAGTTCCATCTTTCCCACAAAACTCAAGGAGAACTTGGAGAAATAAAATGTCATATACATCTCATAGTTGTACGTTTCTCCTACAATTCTTGACTTTTCAAGTTCTGTCTTGGACCCTGCCACTACCCACCTTCAGTTCCTGCTGCTCTTTTAGATCCAGCTAATAGCCTGTCTTAGCTGATACTCACATACCCAGCATCAGACCCCTGTGCTCGGAAGCCACAGCAGTTCCTTGTGCCACTAGATGGTGCCATTCCAGTTCCTCTACTGCCCTGGCCTTCCTACATCTTACATATTCTGGTTCCTGGTTTGATCCACACAATTGAACAATAGTAGTAATAAGTCTACACACATTTTTAAATGTCCTTAATCATTTCTTTTAAGAATTTTCAATTTGAACTCAACCAGAAGAGACTTCAGGAAAGATGAAGATTTTTGCATCAGACTTTTTTTTTGTCTCAGGTGAGAGTGCCCAAATGCAATTGTTCTCATTCTCTTCCTAGAGTGATTTTTTTTTTTTAAGGAGAAGCTTTTTTTTCAAGTTCTTCCTCAAAACTTTCCATAGATTACAGAGGAAAGAAGGTGAACCAAGGAAATCCCTTGGGATATGCAACAAGTATCACAGGATTGTTCCAAACAGATTTCAAATGTGATTCTCACAATTTTTCAGGTTGTGCATCATAACATACATAAAATAATTGCTGTAAACGATGGAATGTTGAACGGCCTGAATTACAACATAATACACTAACAGGGAAGTACTTCCGGAATAGGAAGGATCTTCCCCAAATCTCATTAACCACATTACTGCCTCTTCTGCTTTCCTGCAAAATTTACTTTACTTCAGTCTCTCCTTCCATGAGAGACCTGTACATCACTGCTCATAATTGTGGATACCCAGGCACTTGTACTATTGTTAGAATCTGAATTCACTGGTTTGTTTGTTTGTTTTGAGATGGAGTCTTGCTCTGTCTCCCAGACTGGAGTGCAGTGGTGCAATCTCGGCTCACTGCAACCTCCACCTCCCGGGCTTACCCCATTCTCCTGCCTCAGCCTCCCGAGTAGCTAGGACTACAGGCGCCCGCCACCACGCCCGGTTCATTTTTTGTATTTTTAGTAGAGACGGGGTTTCACCGTGTTAGCCAGGATGGTCTCCATCTCCTGACCTCGTGATCCACCCGCCTCGGCCTCCCAAAGTGCTGGAGTTCACTTTTTAAAAATGTCATGCCGTCTCATACATCCATACTATCATCATAATCTGATGATTTATTTAGAGATTTATGAACCAGAAACAGGTGTGTATGATAGGCTATCATCTGTCACATGCTTAGAATATGTAAAAATTAATCAAACATGCAGGATGAAAGGATTGACAATGGGCTCAGGAAGACCAAAATATATTGATATATCTCATTTACTTGCTGGACAAAAATTATTTATCAAATCCTTACTGTGTGTTCAGCATAGGAAATATAAACCTGACTTCTAGGGGGTTACAACCTGTCAGTTGAGATAAGATAGTTGATGCTGAAATATGTAATAGAAAGTGATGAGCATCTTTTAAAAAGAGGTTTACGTGCTACAACAATTCACAAGACATACAGTTAAATTAAAAAGCCTCAGAAGTAATTCAAGAGCTGCTTTCTTCTGTCAGGTATTTCCAGCCTTCTTAGCTCTATTACACAGAGAAATGGGCATGTAGTCGAAGGCTTTGACGCTAGGATTAATGTCTGTTTTTTTTGTTTGTTTTTGTTTTTGTTTTTGTTTTTGAGACCGAGTCTTGCTCTGTCGCCGAAGCTGGAGTGCAATGGCATGATCTTGGCTCACTGCAACCTCTGCCTCCTGGGTTCAAGTGATTCTCCTGCCTCAGACTCCTGAATAGCTGGGATTACAGGTGCATGCCACCATGCCCGGCTAATTTTTGTATTTTTAGTAGAGACAGGGTTTCACCATGTTGACCAGGCTTGTCTCGAACTCCTGACCTCAGGTGATCCACCCACTTGGGCCTCCCAAAGTGCTGGGATTACAGGTGTGAGCCACCATGCCCAGCTGGATTAATGTCTCTTACAGTGCTGATCATACTAAATAGCACTGTCTCTATGATGTATGAAGTTAACATAAATATTTCTCTATGATAACTGAAATATTTATACAAATGTACTTTTTATATAAATTTGTTTATGTGTAAATATTTTTGATATTTCCAGAACAAATGTTTTATACTGGTAACTCTCTGCTTTTCAATTTGCTACTAGTAGCTTCTATGACTTGGTTCCTATTAACCCCTTCTTAATTATTATTTTGCTTTTATGTAGAAAGATCCTAGGAGTTTAGATTACTCATTTCTTTCACATTGTGCTGATATAATGCATAACTTTTAATTGTGTGTTCACTTTTAAAAATATACTTCAGGAAGAGTTCAGTCTTGAGAATGGGTTTGCGTTAGGGGAAAATATCAAAAGTCTGTCAACTTTTCAAGTAAAGACCTCTCAGGATATGAGCATCTAGGGGTTTTGCAAAGGCTATTTTCACATCATAAAATGCCTGTTTGAATTTCGTGGCAATTTTTGTTTTTGACATTTTATTTATGAATTGAAAGGCATCTCCATGCATCATTATCTTGAAGAATGTAACATTACAGGATTCCAAATGAGTATAGAAACTTAAAAGCTCCATTATTTTAGGCCACCTGCACCTGACATTTTCCCTGGGGACCTATTCCTGTGTGATTTCCTTGCATGAAGTAAAAGCTTTTTATAAATCGCATTGAAGTTATTTCCAACTGTTAAAAGTCCTACTTTCAGTGGTGAAATCTCCTTTCCTTATTTGATTTTTGCCTTCTTCCTTTTGCATTTTGGAAAAATTTGACAGAATCTTAAATTTATCTAATATTTGACAAAACTCAATTGATGAGGTTAGATAATGAGCATAGAAAATAGATTATAATTATCGCCTCTCATTTTTAAGTTGGATTTGGAATCCTGAGCGAGGAATTGCTTCTGCAGGTGATATCCCGTCCAGACCTCTGACCCATATGTCAGCACTCCAAGAGGACATATTTTGGTCATTCATTCATTCAGTAAATGTTTTATGAGGGCTACTACTCTATGTTAAAAATGTTTCTAAATGTTGAGGATTTAGTAGTGAAAGAGAAAAAGGCAAAATTCCTACACTAAAGGCTTTTACAGTTCAGTGTGTGAAACCCACAATAAAACATTAAACAAGTATATATCTAGCATATCTGTTTTTCCCACAGTTTTCTTTAGCATTAAGCAAAGTGCTTTATACATAGTAAGTGCTTAACAACTATTTGTTGAATGAAAGATATAGCCTGTCATTACTACTTACTAACAAGCTACTTATCATCTTTGCTAAATGGGAATAAAAAGAGTTATCTACAGTGTTTCTGTAAAGATCTTAAAAACACAATGTACTAAATGTGTAAATCACACTTCCTACCACATAGTAAATCATGGAAAGCATCACTTCACTTCAACACAAAGTTATGCACAACACATTGTAAGTGTTAGAAAAATTAAAGACATGGAGTTAGTGATGTTCTGGTAGGTGGTTAGATACAGCTAAGTGGGGATGGCTGCACCTGAATGAATCAGGAAGGATGGAATAAAGACATCTTATTCCTTCTTCACTTTCAACGGTGGTGAAATTCACAATCGACAATTCACAAACTCAAAATCAAAAGACATAAAGGAGTAAGCTATTTCAGCTAATGATTTGAATCAGTCTGACAAGTGATGGTGATAGCTCTATAAAATGAGTAACAGGTCAGTATTAGTGTGCAGGCTAAAACAGTCAAGCCGTTCTGCAGCTGTGGCTGAAAATTAGTCTTTTCAAAGTGGCTTCAATATACAAACTGAAGTGGTGAAAGTACCCAGAATGGCAGATATACCAAGTAGGAGGATAAAATGTGTTATAAGTACTAAAACTGATTATTATATAATTTGATATTTCCACTATTTGTGCTATAATCATTTCCTTTTACCACTGTTATTAAATTTTGATGATAATACACACCTTACTTTATTCATTCAACAAATATTGAGAACCTCTAATGTTCCAGAACATGTGCATATACTCTAAACTGTCATAACACACAGAAATCCTTTAATATGAGACAAACTCCTCTGTATCTTATCATAACATAAAATTTAGCTAACTAACCCAACCATGTAAGAACTTTGCACTTGCAAATATTATGCCATGAACATATAATCAAGTGGAAACTACTTAATTGAGAACTGGCCCCACTCAGTTTGAATCTCAACATCTGTCCTTCTTCAAATGAAAAACATTCAGGAAAAGAAAAAAATGACACATTGTAAATCTATGATAGTTTCCATCAGTGTCAGTTGGTAAAACTTAACTAATGCTATTTGAGGTCATAATTACATGAATAGAGTCAAAGTGTTTGACATATGTAGATTCCACACATGAGTTTAGTTCATTTGCTTAAATTCACCTATTTTTATTAAAAGGTAAGTAGGTACCATAAATCACAAAATTATAATATATTTCACTGATGGAGAACCAAAATTAACAAGTGAATGAGTACATCTGCAAATGTTGAATAAATAAACCTTCACCTAAAAAATATTTCTTTAGCCTCCAAGGCCTTCCTTGTTAGAAACAATATCATGAGAAAATGCTTTTCTTTCTTAGCTTTCTCATAGGCAATTGAGGGGAAATCTAGTTAATAGGGGAAAGGAAGTAATATAAAACTAAATGAGTAAGTGGGACAGAGTAACGTGGAAAAACGTAGACAATCTACTTATTCAGGAACATTCTCTTAACAGCACCTCTTTTCTGCCACTATCTCTTAACTCTGAAATCCCAGTGGAGTTGAATATTATATTTTCTTACTTGGATTGATTCTCCCAAATTCTTTGTTAACTGAGAAAACTGATATTATATGAATTCTCCAAATGACTGTGGTTTCAAATGAGAGGTACATTTATAAAAACTTTAATTCCTCTACTTTTAAAATGAGAGACTATTAATCTTAATTACGTATTATTATAGCACCTAATATTTTAAAAATAAGGAATAACTTTAAAAAGAGTCAAATCGAAATTGAGGAAAAGACTTTCCCATTAGGATATAACAAAATTATGTTTTAAAAATGGTGAATTATTTCCCAAAGTATTTAAAACATATTACATTTAAAATAGAATGGGCTTCTATTGGGCATGAATGTCTGTAGTCCCAGCTACTCGGGAGTCTGGGGCTGGAGGTTTTCTAGAGTCCAGGAGATCGAGTCCAGCATGGGCAACATAGTGAGACTCACATCTCTAAAAAGAAAAATATAAAATAGACTGGGCTTCTTACTTACTGCCAACCAACTCAACTCTGAATGTTAGTTAGTTATGTATCTGCAATTACCTACATAATAAAGATATCCACTACCAAAATACTTGGGCAAAAGCTGACCCTGCAGTTAAACTAGCAATGTAAATATTTTAATTCACAACTTCTCAATAGTTCCTCAAATTTGTCAGTACTTTCTAATTAATACAATATTTTTATTGCCTTGATCAAGTTTATAGAATATTAAATGCAAAAATGAAATAGGAAAACAAAGGAATATTGAAACATTTGTGCAAAATTGCAGAAAATAATATCAGGATTGATTGTTGTTTATCAACTACAATTTTTAGAAAGATATATGAAATGTCATAAAACACGTCGGTCTGCAATGATGTTATGTAGAGTAATTTCTCTATTTTTCACAATCACCAGCTAATGCAATATATCAAAATAACTGATATTAAAAAGGAAACCACCACTTAACACTTTCATACAATTAAGTTGTAACAATTTTTGAAAATGTATTTTTCTCAGAAGAGTTTAGTCATGAAACAACACAAGATTCTCCAATAAGATCTGGATAAAGAAAAGCCACTTTAATGCCAATAAATTGACATAGTTTACTCAAACTATTATGGGGTAAGTATGTATGAAAAACAGCAATAAAATGATATTTTCTAAAATCAAATATAGTGACCCCAGGCAAAAAGAACACAATAACACCATTGACGAAATGCACTTGCCACGTAGATTAGTCACCAATGAAACAATGGTAGCAGGCAGGTCAGTCTGACACTGAGCTAAGATAGAGTGACACATTTTAAGCAAAAATTTAACACAGTTCACAAGACAAATAGGCAATGTCAAAGTGTATAAGGAATGGAAAACTAACAGAGGCTTCTAGTGCTCAGATAACCATGTCCATAGGAAGTCAGATGACTCCAATTATGAGGCCTTAACAAAAGCACCACTATCCTCCCAGTAAAATTCCCTGAACTCAGATGAAGAACGCAGAGGACACTGACAATTCACACAAACCAGAAAAGTAATGACAGATACCGAATTTTGATCCTTCAAGGGCATAGGCCATTTTACTTATTTTATGTTTTGTTATCTTCAGAAAAGCTTCCCATATGTCTCTGTTCCAGCACTTTCTATTTTATATGCCCATACAGCATATACTTTACATTTTAATTTGACTGGCATCTTAACTCAGATGGTGAGCTTTTTGGGAAAAAAATGACATATCTGATTTGTCTCTATGTCTGTTGCTGCAAGCATAGTTCAAGACACATAGTAGTAGGTACTCAATGAGTGTTTAATTGGTTGATTTGTAATTACATTACTATTAGAAACATGTCAGACTTTAACACATATTTTAAAATGAGAGTGCTGTATTTGAGTATGAACAACAAACGGGTGTGAGTGTATACATATACGTAGTATAGTATCAAGTGTAGAAAACTTGATATTGCACCATAGCATTGATCAAAAAGGCACACTGAGGACACGCCACAGTCCCCTTCACTCATATTAAACCCTAGAACTAAATATTTTTTTAAGAATTATGTTTTTAAACGTTGCATAGATGTAGGGTAATGCTCAGAAGTGGTAAGTAAAGTTTCTGAAGATCAAAACAGAGTTATTCCCAAGAGACTGAAAAGGGACAAACTTTGATCATGCAGAAGAAAGTCAGCTCATCAAACTTATGGAAGAGTGTGATTTTCAAAACTTAATAGGAGCAAAGCCACAGAAATTCCATGGTAGGGCCTGCAGTGAGAGGAGGCTGGAGCACGCACATTAGAATTAACTGGGGTATCACAAAAGGAATAGTCTGTCAGCCCAAGCCCATTTCCTATTCCTCTGCCATCTCACACCACACACACTTCTCCACCAGTACAATCTATAGCATTCGTGTTTGTCGCCAGCTAGAACTCCATGGACGGAGACAGAAGACGAGGCCATAGGCAGCTGGGAATGCTTGAGAAAAAATGAAAGAAAGAAGAGCAGGTTAGCCTCTGTCTAAGGCTAATCTTGCCCCTCTGCTAGAATCACTGAAAACTGTGGGTAGTAAAAGGGCCAGCCGTGGTTTGAGTGTTCCACCCCAGACAGACTTACTGAGCTAAAATAACCAAATGCCTGAAAGAGAAGCTGAACTACCAATAAGAACACTTCAACAGAATCACAAGACACCCTAAAAGTATCTGCCCTACGAAAGATTAAAAATAAAACAGGAGAACCTGAACTCAAGAAAACAGATTAGATGAACAGTGATTATCAACAGTTTTTGTATGGGAATCTGTTTAAAAACGAAACTATCTATGGTGATGGATGTGTTAATTAATTTGACTGTGGAGATCGGTAGACAATGTATATGTAGGTTTACATTGGCTTTGAATATATTCAATTTTTTATTTGCCAAATATTTTTAAAGAATAAAAGTGTTGAGAACTCAACTTTAGTGCTGAAAAAAGTGCTGAGTCTCACCCTTAGGTGTTATGATAAAATTGGTTCAGGGTGCTGCCGGAGGATCAGGATTTCTAAAAGCTTCTCAAGTGACATTTATATCCAGCCAAGGATGCAACCTTCTGTGATAGGATATCAATAACAAGAATTTAAAACACACACACACCCTCATAGAGAAGAGGAAGAGCTTGAATCTATGATGCCTATTATAAAATTGAAAGAGCATTCTAGGATTTATGGTATTATCTTTATCCTCTGCTGGTTTTCCTCTGTTTCCATTGCCTATTGCCTATTACTTGAATAAAGAGCAGCTTCAGTAAGTTTAGGGTATCTCCAGGAAATATTCTAAAAATTAATGTTTAAAAAGCCACACAAAGTAGAATAATCTTGTATTCAACAAGGCCCATTATCTAGTCCTCACATGCTCAGAAATCTGATCTGCCAGATTTCCAGAGCTTATGTACTCAGAGATGCTGAATCTAGGGTACAAAATTCAATGTGGAAAGCAGAATGATAATTTACTAATTTGCAATGATAAATATAACTGTGAATGAGATAGAAAAGCATACAATGGGAGGTTTCTATTTACCATGAAATCAGGACAAAAGGAATTAGTTATATGATTCAAATGTTTGAGAGCTTCAGGCTATGAGTATTGGAACCATCGCTTCTTCATTAAAAAGAAAAAAGATTTGTTAAATATCTCTTATATATCAGTATAGCACATAAGCATGTAGGTAATGTTTCTTGTCTCAGGGTGGTTGTCATGGATTAAGTAAGGATAACAATTAAGTATACAATACATAAATCAAGAAAAATATCAAATAGTGACTACAGTGGGTTGAATAGTATCCCTCCATAATCCATGTCTACCCAAACCTCAGAATGTGACCTTATTTGGAAGTAGGGTTTTTGCAGAGGTCACATTGGATTGGGGTAGGCCCTAAATTGAATGACTGGTGCCCTTATCAGAAAAGGAGAGGATGCAGAGAGGCACACATAAAGAAGAGGCCATGTGAGCTTGGAGGGAGGCAGAATTACTTATGCTTCCAAAAGGTGAAAAATGCCAGGAGCCACCAGAAACCAGAAGAATCAAGGAAGAATTCACTTCTAGATCCTTTGTACAGAGCATGGCCCTTTCAGCACCTGGCTTTCAGACTTTTGGTCTCTAAAATTGTGAGAGAATAAATTTCTGTTGTTGTAAACCATCTAGTTTGTGGTAATTTCTTATGGCAGCACTAATACAGCAGTGATCCATTGGAGGTAAAGAATTAGGAAGATAATTATATCATAGAAAATCAATGAATGAGACTGATTCTGGGGTTCACATGAAAATAAAGAGCTAGCCACAAAAAAGAAAAACAGGAAGAATGCTCAAAATAGAAGAAATGGCAACAAAACTCCTAAGTGTGGCAAATTTAAGGAACCCAAAATGAGGCTAAAGCTCAATGGACTAAGGATAGAAGGGTAGGAGACAGGTGAGAAAGGAATTCAAGATTCATGTAACATAGGAATTTATACAGATTTTAATTCTAAATCCAATTTGAAAATGTGTGAAAATTTGAAAATAAGCAAGAAGTGGACTCAGTATTTAACATTTAAAAAATTCTCTCTGATTTCTACCTGGAAAATGTATTTTGTGTTGTTGGCTTTTCAGTTTACTAGTGAGTTGGGAGAGTTCCTTGACCACCCTCACAGGACTTGCCACGCGGGTGTGGCTCTCTGTTTGAACAAGCTCTCAAACTCTCTCCTTTGAACAAGCTCAAACCCTTTATGGGAGGGCGAGCACGCAGACGGGCAGGTGCAGGAACCAAGGGGAGCGCTTTTGGGCTCCAGCCCCATGGCAGCATCTAGGAGTGGATGTCTGACACTCCTGAAGCCCAAGTAGGCCTGAGTTACAGTGCGCTCTTTTAGTCTTGCCATCCACGGATGGCTTAAGTGTTAGACAGCTCAGTGAACCCTCTTGGCACCCAGGTCCAATCCAGCATCCAGGAAGAATCAGGTCGCACACAGACTAGAAGGGTGAAAGCTGGGGTTTTAGTAAGTGGTGGAGGTGGCTCTCCACAGAATGGATGGGGAGTTGGGAGGGGAATGGAGTGGGGAGATGATCTTCCCCTGGAGTTTGGCTGTCTAGTGGCCAACCTCCTTTCCAATAGTCCCCAGACAAACTCCTCTCGGCATTCAGACACTCCTTCTCTTCTCTCCTTCGAAATGCCCTGCATTTCTGCTTTTCATCTGTTCGGCCGCTTCTGGAGCCTGGGATGTGGAGTTTATGTGGGCACAGGATAGGGGGCATAGCAGGCCAAAAGGCAACTTTTTGGGCGTGAAAACAGGAATACCTGTTCTCATTTAGGGCCACGGGTTTCCAGGCTTGAGGGTGGGGCCTTTGCTGGGAAACTGCCCTCTTCTACCCAGTATTTCTGTCTCCTGTCTTTATCACTAGCATACAGTCATAAAGAGGAATGGCTTGGAGTAAGCTCAACATGCTATTTCCAGACCTCTTAATCCTGTCTTTGGCAGCATGTTTTAGTATCAATACAATGACAGTAGAAAAATGGAAGAATATTAAGGGCAGACGACGCCAACACCAAATACAAGTAATTGTCATATGAGTAATTGCAGCCTTCCTCTCATTTTGTTTTTCATCCACTCTCAGAAGCAACTGCTGGTTTTCCAAACAGAGTGTGATGAAGGGCTAAGACTCATAGCTTATCAATTGATATTACTGATATTGTAATTTTCTTGAACTAAAAGTAAAGTCCTATTTCATTATCATTTATATTATTTCTTATAGACATAGCCAGTTAGCAATAATATTCTTAGCTAACTACATCTGAGAATTTGAGATTTCCTAAAAAATGGCAAAAAAATGCTAACATGAAATGATTGGTACTGAATATGCTGTCCAAAAGGTTTGTTATCTTTTGTGATATAACTAAATAAACAAACAATAATTTACCTGTACAAAAAAAAAAACAAAACACCAAACTTGCATGCTATCAATCCCTGTGTTAATAAGAGTTCTGAATATTTCCAATGGGTAGTTTCAGAATTTATGAAATGGCTAAAAGGAAAACGAATAACAGGTAAGTACTTTGTTTTATTAATAAGAAGCAGTGATGTAGATATGAAAAATAACTTCTTGTGCTCAAGTGACTTTCCCAGCACATAAAATGGAGAATAACAGCTAGCGAAGGCGTAGTTCTTTGGCCACCTTACTTCAGGAAAGAAAGAAAAAAATATATATGGGGAACTTATGCTCACCTAGGGAACTTGCTCTCATCAGCTAATTTTGAGAACAGGAAAAAGGAAATTGCGTCCCAGGCAGCTTGACATGAGACAATGGGTCAGTCTCCTTATTGCTTAAACATGTAGCATTGTGCTGAGCTGTTCTGCACTTTTCTTCTCACAAAAAGCAGAATCAGCCTGAAAGACCAGTGAAGATATTGCAAAAGGAGGATTTATTGAGCTTCATTACATCTTGAAAGGATTAGTTGCACCTGCACATAAAGAATCTCTATTGGTTCAGATATACAGGCTGAAGGCGCCTTCTTTATTATACTTCTTTCAAAGGAAGATATTTGACCCACACTCTTGACAAGTTTCAAAGCCTCCAGGTTCACTGCCGAGGAGCAAGAGTGCCATCTGCTGGTTAACAACATTGAGCACATACAGAAGGCTTTGAATCTCTTCGGAAAGAAAATTATTGTTCAAAGAATTTTCATTTCTTTGAAGCTGAATTACAGAATAGCTAAAAATATCATTTCCTCATGAAGATATTACTCCACTTCCAGTTGCATAAAATGAAGTAAAAATGCACTCTAAAAAGTAAAGTGGGATGAAAGGGGAAGAAGGAGGACAAAGGGATGTATTTTGACAGAGAACATTAACAGCAAAGTTAATTTTACCGTGAAGAGAGGGTCTTTTTGCTTCATTTCCTAAATAGTTATTTATATTTTATTGTAAATTCCTTTAGGTAAATTAGCTATTAAGTAGTGTGGAAATTCTTGATGGTTAAAACATGTTCTTGGCCGGGCGCGGTGGCTCACGCCTGTAATCCCAGCACTTTGGGAGGCCGAGGCGGGCAGATCACGAGGTCAGGAAATCGAGACCATCCTGGCTAACACGGTGAAACCCTGTCTCTACTAAAAATAAAAAAAAAAATTATCCGGGCGTGTTGGCGGGTGCCTGTAGACCCAGCTACTCGGGAGGCAGAGGCAGGAGAATGGCGTACCTGGGAGGCGGAGCCTGCAGTGAGCCGAAATCGCGCCACTGCACCCAGCCTGGGCAACAGAGCGCGACTCCGTCTAAAAAAAAAAAAAAACCATGTTCTTTACTCAAGGACATTAATATTAACATTCAAATTAGAGCAAGCGTATATCAAAAATATAACAAAATTATAAAATTGTTTTATTAATGTTAAATTATCTTCATAACGTCTTCTACTTAAAACCTAATTTATGCATGGACACTTTACACTTTTTTCTCAATTTCTGACCTTTAATTTTTAATAATGTCATTTAAACATCCATGCAGTAAAAAATTATTACATTGAAACAATTCTATTCCATCTACAATATGTACTGTGTTTCTAAATATACTTGCCAGTTCCACAGCCCCCACCTAACCCTCGTTTCCCATAAATTTTTCACAAAACTAAGTTGTGATAGTTGTAGCCAGGCCCTTCCCAGAGCTCCTTTCCGAGGACTCCCTGCCTCACACTTCAGTTGCAGGCTTCTTCAGAGATTCCTCAGCTACAGCAAACTGACTGCTCCAGTTCCCCTGTCCACCCACATCTGATGACTGCTGGGGTCAGGAATATAAAAGCCAGCCAGTTTGACTTAATTTGGGACTCCTCTGATGTGCCATTGTAGCTCCAGAACTTCTTGGAGGGTTGATTCCTGTCAACTTCAACTTCTTACCTTGAGTTTGGACTTTGTCTTGGCCCAGTCCTACTTTCTTACCCTCCTGTCCACATGGGATGACCCCAATAGTATTCCCTGGTGAACACTTTGCAGGAACTCCATCTCCTGCTTCCAGAGAAACCCAAACAGCAATTCAAGCTGAAAGACAGCCCTGTTGTGACCATGTGATTTTGTTTTGTCCTCTTCTATAGAAAAAGGCTTTATTCTTTAACTTAATCAAAATATCCTTCTCTCTTATCAAATCTTATCAAATCCATATTATACTTTTAGATAACTAAAATGCTACAAAATATATAGTGTTTGGCCATCATGTCTATTTTACATCATTGAAATATTTTACATAATCCTATATGTGTGTATGTCTATGTGTTAAAATACTGATATATTAATCTAAATTTTAAAATCTGAATATTTTATTAGAGCAATGTTTTAAATTTGAGCTGATGTTACTGTAGAATATGAATGTTTATGTATTTTAAGCTAATATGTGCCATAAAGAATATATGCTTTTCATAACTTGAGATGGTTGAAATATTTTATCTTTACAAGTTAATAAAGTGGTACTCAGTACCTTCAGCTTTAAAAAAAAAAAGGCTTTTTCTTTCAAGAACTAGAATTTTAAGACAGAAGAAAAATGCCCTCTAGTGGTAAATATTAAGAAAATACTTTTTAGTGTATTAAATTAATATGTTTAACAAATATTTATTAATTTTCTACTATGCTTTGGTTGCTCTGGTTAAGTCCCAGGACACAACTGTGAATAAAATAAAAAAGGGTACAAGACCTCTTCTGATGTGCATTACGGTGAGAATAAGACAAACTTTAAAAAGAAAACAATTAAAATAAGTCCATATTTAGTGTATAAAATGAAGGGAACAAACAAGAATCTGAGATAGAGAACAGTGAGAGGAAACTTGCTTTAATTATTAAATGCCATTTATGCTAGTATTTCTAGGAAGCGTCAATCTTTTAATTTATATTTTGTGAACTAAAGGTGGTTGTCTTTGTTGCTGTTCCTTTTTTTAAAACATTCAAGACACATGACGGTGTAAAACTAGAATCTCAAATCAAAAAAAGAACCTGGAGCTAAATCAATTGTCCAGGGACATTTTGGAATACTAATTCATATACACAACACACCTAAAATTTTGCAGAGTAATTTTTCAGGTTTTGCAAAACAACAAAGAAAAGGAAACCCACCATATTACCAGTAGGAGGGATTCACAAATGCATAATAATTCAGAGCCCTCCTCTCCACTACAAGAAAATAAATAAAACTCATGTGAATTCCCTAATCCTATCAATTAGATGAGCAATGGGGAAAAGAAAAAGTTTTTCCAGATCCTACAAGATCCCACTGCCTCCATCATTGATATTCCCTGAACTTGTCAAAGTTAGTCCCAAAGTTAAACCTAACATGCTGCTTACAAATTGTCCCTGGGCAACTTCAATCTCCTAAACACATCCACAATTCTAGCGTTTTTTACAAGTAGTTCAAGGCCGGGTAAGGATAGTTGCTAGAAGAGGTAACTCCTGAAATCTCAGTAGCATATTATAATAAAAATGTGTTTGTTTGCTTGTTTGTTTACTTTAGTCCATGTAAAGTTCAATGAAGTGTTGCTGATGAGGAGTGGGGAGGAGTAGAGAAGGGACGTATTTTCCTGGAAGCCCTAAAGGGTCTCAGGTTATGGAAGCTGTAATACTTTCAACTCATGCTCTCTCAGGTGAACTTGGGCATCAAAATCCAGCTTGTAGATGGAAATGTAATCACACAGATAGTCTGAGTTGCATGTATCATTTCACTGCCATTCTGTGGCCAGTAGTTATTTACAGGCAACATCTTACTGCAAGAGAGTCTAAAAACAGGTCATTCATATTCCCAGGTAGGAGAAGAAAACAGAATGACAAACAGCTACACATCATTATATAACATTTCAGAAATATATCCACCCATTAGTTTGATTATCAAACAGCAACAAACTTGGAGTATCATTTTGTTGATAGCTAAAAATTGATTTAAAGAAAGCTTCTTTATAACAAATTTTTATGGTTAATAAAAAACAATTTATGTGGAAATGAATAACAGTGTTAGTTTGAATTTTTAATAATGTATATGCATTTTGAATTTTAAATTTTTAATGTGTATCTATCCCTAAAGAATGCCACAAACTCTCAAAGCCTTTCTAAATGACTACTTAAATAATTTTATGGCTGGGCACTGTGGCTCATGCCTGTAATCCCAGCACTTTGGGAGGTAGAGGTGGGTGGATCACTTGAGGTCAGGAGTTAGAGACCAGCTTGGCCAACATGGTGAAACCCTGTCTCTACTAAAAATACAAAAAAAATTAGCCAAGCATGGTGGCAAGCGCCTGTAATCCCAGCTACTTAGGAAGCTGAAGCAGGTGAATCGCTTGAACCCAGGAGGCAGGGGTTGCCACGAGCTGAGATCGTGCCACTGCACTCCAGCCTGGCAACAGAGTGAGACTTCGTCTCAATAATAATAATAATAATAATAGTAATAATAATAATAATAATGTTATAAAATATTCTACATCCTGGAAATATTATCTAATAAGATCACTATGTTATCTCTACGTTGTGCCATATATATGCTTTTAGTAGGAGACTACATACATAGCTTAATGCAAAGTATTTGTATTAAGGGAATTCGGAGATTCTACATACAGAGTCAGGCCTAATGGTGATAATATTTTAAAGTATACTGAATCTAAATAGCTGAGTTTCCTGCTCAAGCAAAAGCTATGTAGACAAATGAGCAGTTAGGTTGTAATATTGAAACTGAACATAGATAGCTGAGTCCTTCTTCATGCTTAATGATTGACAATGGGCATATTGTATTGGGTAGTTAATGCTGTGGACTAATACACTTTATAACCAAATCAAGCTCGATATTTTGTTTATGTGTCTCTCCTCTGAGTAGAAGAGTTTTCAATGTTATTGGAATATTCAGGATGTTGATTTCTACATTGCATAATATTAATCACCCATGGATTTGACTTGAAGCCCAAATCTGAAACCACTCCTCTATTTACATTTTTTCTTAGCATCTTTTTCATAGCCTTGCATACACTGACATTATTCCAAGCTATAGTCCCCTCACTTTTATATCTGGCCACTTCCCACTATTCAGCCTCCTGTGCAGGCTAAAATCCACTTTTATTATAATAATTGGTACTCTCCCAAACATACAATGATCTGCAGTGTTTCTCAGCCCTTGCCTGGAAGATGCTTTTGTGCCTTTTAAAAATGCTACAATTCTAGCTCAAATGGTACCTCTATAAAATCTTCTCCAACTCTTTCTCCCACCAAAGATTTAGCATCTCCCTTGACAATGATCTCACAAAATTACAGTGCCTTTCCCAACGAATTTTGTGTTTGCCTACCTCCCCCAGTACAATGAAAGCATCTCAAGGAAACTACCTTTTCTGTGGTGTGCTTGCTTCGCTAACTAGAATATGGCTTAGAAGCCAGTTACCTGTGGCTTATGGGCAGTGATAAAACTTTGTAAGTGATAAGACAATCAAAAACAAAAAGAAAGCACACTGTTTTGGATGTCTCTAGGCTGGATTTAGGCTGCATGCTACCAGCTTGAAATGCCCTTGATTAAGGTGAACTTACCAAGGCCTGACTGTATGTGTTTTGACAAATGTATTCTCAGTGCCCAGCCCAGTGCCTGACCCAGGATCCAAGATCAAGAGCTGTTAATAAATAACCAAATAACTGATGAATCAATGAAAATAAATGGGGAAAGAGCTTATTATTACACCAAAAGCATAACTGATTTTATTTTTGAAACATATTTTGCCCAACATCACATGCTGTATCTCTGTGCACATTTCCTAATCTGTTGCTCTTTTCCCATCTGCTCTAAAAGCATCAACTTTTTAAAATGATTCACAAAGGATGCTAGACAACTCTTAATTTTCTGGTTTATAAACCAGCTAATAAAGTAGAGAAATCTGGTATTACATCGGGTAAATAAATAATTCACAGGGCCATTTGTTATAGGTGAAGATAAAAGAAATTGTGAATTATAGGGCCTAACAACTAGTAATGTGAATGAAAAAATGTCATTCCAATGAATGAAATGTATATGAACGTTACATTCATTTATTCATTTTTCCCCTCAGGATTAAGGTAATCATATTCAGGAACTAAATACTCTAACAGGACTCTGAATAAAAGAGTTGAGGCCAGAAAGCAGTTTGTCAGCAATCATGGAGAAAATTATTTTAAGTACACACCCACTAAAAGATCATGTTCAGCTGCTGACATGGTTTGGCTGTGTCCCCACCCAAATCTCATCTTTAATTGTAATCCCTATAATCCCCATATGTCAAGGGAGGGACCTGGTGGAGGGGATTGGATTATGGGGGCAGTTTTCCCCATGCTATTCTCATGATAGTGAGTGAGTTCTCACAAGATCTGATGGTTTTATAAGTATTTGTCAGTTCCTCCTTTACACACTCAGACTTTCTCCTGCCACATTGTGTAGAAGATGCCTGCTTCCCCTTTTGCCATGATTGTAAGTTTCCTGAGGCCTCCCCAGCCTTGCAGAACTGTCAGTCAATTAAAATTCCTTTGCATAAAGGCTACCCAGTCTCAGGCAGGATCTTTACAGCGGCATAAGTACGGACTAATACAGCTGCCCAGTATTTCCTTTGTTTTTGTTGAGAAAAAGAGAAATGGCTTTAAGCTTTTTAAAATAAATTACTCATGTGGCCAAGAAGCATATGAATAAAAGCTCAATATCACTGATTGTTAGAAAAATGCAAATCAAAACTACAATGAGACACCATCTCATACCAGTCACATTGGCTATTACTAAAATGTCAAAAAATAAGAGACACTGGCCAGGTTGCAGAGAAAAGGGAACACTTATACACTGTTATTGGGAGTATAAATTAGTTCAATCATTGTGAAAAGCAGTGTGGCAATTCCTCAAAGACCTAAAAACAGAACTACCATTCAATCCAGCAATCCCACTACTGGGTATATATCAGAGGATTAGAAATCATTCTAATACAGCGACACATGCGCACGTGTCCATTGCAGCACTATTCACAGTAGCAAAGACACGGAATCCACCTAAATGCCCAACAGTGATGGATTGTATAAAGAAAATGTAGTGCATATACACCATGGAATACTATGCAGCCATAAAAATAATGAGATTATGTCTTTTGTGGGAACATGGATGGAACTGGAGGCCACTATCCTTAGCAAACTAACACAGGAACAGAAAACAAATTACTGCACGTCATCACTTATAAGTGGGAGCTAAATGATGAGAACACACGGAAACAGACACTGGCACTTACTTGAGGGTGGGAGGAAAAGGTGGAGCAAAAAAACAATACTGTTGAGCACTAGACTTAGAACCTGGGTGATGAAATAATCTGTACAACAAACCCCCTTGACATGAGTTTACCTATTAGGTTGGTCCAAAAGTAATTGTCATTTTTCCATTATTTTTAATGGCAAAGACTGCAATTACTTTTGGACCAATCTAATATATAACAAACTTGCATGTGTACTCCTGAAATAAAAATAAAAGTTGAAAAACAAATAAACAAAATTATTGAAAATTTATTATAAGTAGAAGGTAGGTGGCAACTTAAACCAGCTGCTAGTAGAAAACCTAGCTCCTGCTATGATGAGTTTTAGTGAGGAGCAGTTGGTTCTAAATGATAGTTTGAAAACCTAAGAGCATTGGCCTCTCCAACTACAGGTCAAAAAAATACAAGAATAATTTGTTAAAGATCAAGGAAATAGAAAATCTTGATACATTTTCTCACACAACTACTTCTTCTTAAATTCATTCTAAAGTAAATTAAAATACATGTTGGAATTTATTGTTGTCCTTTCCTCTTATGCTCTGGCTTGGGAAGGACAACTTAAGGTTGAGAATGATGCCCTCTATAGCATGATAAGCTAGAGACTTAGTTACAAGTGAACACTTTGTGTGATCCTTTTCCTCACTTGTCACTCCACTAAATAATCTTTTTATCTCTTTTTCCACTAGAAAAGTGGGTCTCAATGTGTTTTCTGTGGACCCCTTGGGAACCCCAAGTCCATTCAGTGGATTCATAAGGTCAAAAATATATTAATAATACTAATGCATCATTTGCCTTTTCACCTTCATTCATACATAGGTGTACAGTGGAGTTTTTTAGAGGCACCCTTCTCTGTGCAATGTGACAGAAGATGACAGGAGAATCTTGCTCTTTTTTACTGCCAGATATTATAGAAAGTTGCTAAAATGTAAAATAATGCCACTCAAACTGAATTCTGACAACAACCTGAATTAGTTTGGGAATGGATTTGTCACTAGATCCTCCATGAAAGAATAGTCTTGCCCACAACTTGATGTGTTCCTTTTGCAATGCAGAACAGAGAAGCAGCCAAGCTGCATGGTGCCTAGACTTCTGGCCCAGTGAAATTGAGAGATAATAAATGGATATTGCTTGATGTGAACAACAAATTTACAAATGTTTGGTATTCTACTCTGGTGACAACAAGAAATTAATATAGGAGATAACTAATCCCATGGTTTTGATTTTTAAAGGAATGTGCATTCAACAAATATTTGCCAAAGAATACTAGTGAGACGTGTGGAAGTTAAGCATTTTCTAGTACTCTAGGTATATAAGATAACATATTTTTTCATATATAATGTGTATACAGATTAGTATTTTGTAACTACATGTTATGACACTGGAAATGGAAAGATGACACTCCTTTCCTTTGAAACGATAAAATAGGTTTTAATATTACTTATATTAAAAGCACTGTGAGTAATGTTTCTATTGACTTAATAAATAGTCTTATCAGTGACAGGGCTGGACATATTATTTAAACCCGACAAGTGTCTGATAATGGCACTCATCTCTGTAATTTCTCCAGGAATACAGTATTATTTTTGGTTTACTATTTTCCTAGGTACAGCAATTTTAGTGGCTTCCACTTGGAGTTTCTCACCTTAATAGCCCATACTTTGCAGATCAGCAAACAAATATGGTGATTCTTCCAGTTACTGAGTATGTATATTCCTAATATCCATTTCAGAACTGAAAAATTACTAGAGGATGTATCTACAGACTCACTGGACCCACTGTGAGACAGACCTATGCTAAAACTCCTTTGATCACTGGTCCTCCACAAGCCCCTAGTAAGACTGGTGAGTGGACCATAGTAATGTTTTGGGTCTTCTAAAATTAGTGTTAATCTGAGCCAGTGTCCAATAATACACCAAAAGGCTGATTATTTTCTTTTCCCAATGCAGAGTCATCCTAGTAAAAGTCTACAGGTTCCTTGGCAGAAAACCGATGAAAGAGTAACAGTATGGATTTTTGGCAGTGTATCCAGGTTTTTCTTCAAGGTGACCTGACTGCCCCTTCATTCAAAGAGTTTCAGGTCTGTAAACTGACTCAAGTCTGGGAATTGATCAAGAAGCTGTAACTATGTTTTCATAAGTGAAATTAGACTTCTATTTACTTGACCTAGGACTATTTTATCTATAAAGATCGAGTGAGAATTTAACAGAATGCTCATCTATTTCACTTACAGGGACAGGCTATTCTGATCTGCTTTGACTCTGCTGTTCTTTACAGTAAGCACAATCACTTCCTTTTGCAATTAAGTGACACCACTTGGACTCTGCCACCATGGGATCTGATTATCCCCATTGCACTTAATACTTCCAGTTCAGGGCAGCAGATTCCAGTACAATTTCTGACCTACAGAGAAGAATGACCACAGAGTTCTCCATGGATACCGGGGCTGCCCTTACAAATCTGTTCCTCAAAGTTTTAGTGTAAGTTGTGTCCTCTTGACACTCCCAGGGTGAGTGAGCTACTCATATCAGAATCCCAGCTGCCTTCTTTTTAGAAATTGGCAGGTTGATTCTAAAATTCACATGGAATTGCAAGGGACCCAGAAGAGCCAAATAATTATGAAAAGGAGATGTGAAGTTGTAAGACTCACACTTCCTAATTTCAAAGCTTACTACAAAGCTACAGTAATCAGTGTGATACTGGCCTAAGACTAGACATATAGAACAATGAAATCTGTTTTAGAGTCTAGAAATAAACAACTACACTAACGGTCAATTGATTTTCAACAACAGTGCCAAGAAAATTCAATGGGGAAAAATAGTCTTTTCAAAATATGGAATTGGGACATTGGACATCCACATGTAAAACAATTGGTTGAATGCCTTCATCATACCATACACAAAACTATCTCAACATGAATCATAGACTGAAATGTAAGCATTAAACTGTAAAACTCTTAAATAAAAATGTAGGAATAAATTTTCGAGACTTTGGATTAGGCAAAGCCTGCTTACATAAGACATTAAAAGCACAAGGGATAAAAAATAATAGAAGGTATTTTCTCAAAATTTTAAAAAATTGTACTTCAAGTGATCTTACCAAGAAAGTGGAAAGAAAACCAGAGAATGGTAGAAAATACTCACAAATTATATATCTGATATGGGACTTGTATTCAAAATTTTAAAAAAGCCCTCACATAGCACAATAACCAAAAGACAAAAACCAAATTTAAAAATGAAGAAAGGATACATTTAGACATTTCTCCAAAAAAGATAAATAAATGGCCATTAAGCACATGAAAATATGCTCGACACGATTGGCCATCAGTTATCAGGAAAACACACACACAGAAAAAAAGATGAGATACTACTTAAAACCCACTATGATGGCTATAAGCAAAAAGACATACGATAGCAAGTCTTGAGGGTATGGAGAAATGGGAACACTTGTACATTGCCTCTGAGAATGTAAAAGGGTACAGCTGCTGTGAATAACAATCTGGCAGTTATTCAAAATGTTATACATAGAGTTTCCCTATGACTCACCAATTCCCTTTCTAGGTATATACCTAAGAGAAATAAAACAGGTGTCCACACAAAAACTTTGACATGAATATTTATATTAATAGTAGCATTACTCATAATAGCCAAAAAGTGAAAACAATGCAAGTGTCCACCAACTGATGACTGAATAAATAACATGCAATATTCCATACAATGGAATATTATTCAGCAAGATAAAAGAGTAAAGCACTAAAGCATGTTATAATATAGAAGAGCCCTGAAAGCATTATGCTTAGTGAAATAAATCACTCACAAAATACCATATATTGTATGACCGCATTTATATGAAATGTCTAGAATAGGCAAATCTATAGAAACAGAAAATACAGCAGCCTAGGGCTGAGATGGTTGAGAGGAAATGGAGACTCTGTTAATGCACGTCAAGTTTCTTTTAGGAGTAATGAATTGTTCTAAAATTGATTGTGGTGATGATTGCACAACTCTGTGAATATACTAAAATCTGAGGAATTTTACAATTTAAATGAGTGAATTGTATTGTTTAAATGACTAAATTATATTTTAATTAAAAAGCGAAAGATGAAATATACACACACACACACACCCAGGAAGGGACACTATTTCATTAAAAAAAAAAATTGTACATCAAAGCACGTACAAGTGCCTGGTAGAGACTGACATATAGCTCCTGAATGATTCATTAAATGTGGCTAGAATTTGAGAATACCTTATTTCAAGGTTTTTCTTCTGAACATACACATATATGAGCATACTTTATAGCTGAACATGCGAAATGCTACAATAATGCATCATGATTGTGAAAGACATTACCATATGCATAAATAAAATTATATGTTTCAAAGAGATAAGAAACCATACAAATTTAAAAGACAAAATACATTAGCTTGGCCACAGAAATTTTAAGAAAAGTATATCCTTTTAATAATATAAACATATAATTTATATTATATAAAATATAAATTATAATATATAAATATACAATTATATATTAAATTATATCATTTATTTATTACCATTAAAAAGGATTTTATATATAGAGAGAGAGACAGAGAGCGGGAGAGAGAGAGAGAGAGAAAGAGAGAGAGACTCCCTTAGGGACCCGCCCTGCCACCCAGGCTGGATTGCCACAATAGTGCAATCATAGCTATTGCTGCCTTGAATTCCTGGCCTCAAGCAATCCTCCTAACTTAGGATCCTGAATAGTTAGGATTACAGACATATACCGACATATGCCACGGCACCCGGGTAGATTTTTCTTTTTCTTTTTATTTTATTTTATTTATTTATTTATTTATTTATTTATTTATTTATTTATTTATCTGAGACGGAGTCTCACTCTGTCGCCCAGGCTGGAGTGCAGTGGCGCCATCTCGGCTCACTGCAAGCTCCGCCTCCTGGGTTCATGTCATTCTCCTGCCTCAGCCTCCCAAGTAGCTGGGGCTACAGGCATCCGCCACCACACCCGGCTAATTTTTTGTATTTTTTTTTTTTTAGTAGAGACAGGGTTTCACCATGTTAGCCAGGATGGTCTTGATCTCCTGACCTCGTGATCCACCCGCCTTTGCCTCCCAAAGTGCTGGGATTACAGGTGTGAGCCATCGCGCCTGGCCTGGGGGGAGATTTTTATAATAACATAAATAATATTAAAACAAAACTGTAAAAATGAACTATCTAGTACTTTTAATCTTTGTAGAATTGTTTTGAATTCTAAAATTTATAACATTACACAGTATTTAATTTTCTTTAAGTCTTAATATTTTGTTATTTCACTTCATTTAGGCCATGATCATTGCAAGGAAAAAAAAACACCTTTAAAACTATCTGGTAATTATATCCCTAATGATAAATTAGAAGAAAAATATCAACATAAACATAAAAATCCAGTAGGAGGAAAAATTCTAAAGTGATATACATAAAATTGTTGACAAGTCAACTTGGTTTGCAACAGGATTAATAATACAATGTTTAAAGGAATGAAAAAAATGCAAGAACAAAGTACGTACCCACAACATTTTTGTTCTTTCTTATCGAAGTTCAGAATCGTGTACTTGCGAGAATAATTCAAGTGGAAAATTTCTCATAATTTTCTGTCTATGGAGGCTAACATTTTTCTCAACTTTTATTTTAGGTTCAAGGGGTACATGTGCAGGTTTGTTACAAGGGTAAATTGTGTGTCACAGGGGTCTGGGGTACAAATGACCCATCACTTAGGTAGTGAGCATAGTACCCAGTGGGTGATCCCTTCCCATCTTCCCCCCGTCTAGTAGTCCACAGTGCCTATTGTTTCCATCTTTATGTCCATGTGTACTCATTGTTTAGCTCCCCCTTATAAGTTAGAACATGCATTATTTGGTTTTCTGCTCCTGCATTAATTCGCTTAGGAGAGGCTAACATTTTCTATAAATAAAAAACTGTTCAAAATGAATGCTATACTTTGCCAATCATTTTCAAATTTCATAATGTATTCTTGAGATTTTTCTCAAGCTTGAGTCTTTGGTTTAAAAATTCCTTCTGGAAGACATGTTACTGAAAAACATTTCCCTGTATTATATTCCACAGAGCACAAAAAAATCATCTGTTCTATTAAATGTGCTGTTGGAAAGTGATGTATTTCATATTTTTAGTATTATTATATAACTAAGGGACATTACAGCAGTTAACATTTTTGAAAAGTTTTTGCTCCTGCAGTAAAGTGTAAAACTTTAAATATACATGTAATTCTATATATTTCAAAATAAAATTGAATAATAATTTTGTTTCGTTTTATATAAAATCAGCATTTTTTTCTTATATACCAGAAACTTATTCTATATATTGATATTTTTAATTCTCACTTTCATCCAAATTTGATTTTAAGTAATTTAACCATTTAGCATTGGGCAAACTGTGTATTTAGTGTCCCTCATAGTATCTTTCAATTAACAAAGTATCAGATAACCACAAACATGCTATTTTTGTAAGTAATCAGACTTTAATAGAAAATCCAAGAACCAGAGTGTAACATTTTCCATGTTAATCAGAATTGGATCAATTTTTTTTAATGGAATTATCATCAGTTTTAAACCACTGAAAAATTAACAGTTTCACAGTGTGGAACGTGACTAATAAAAAAGTACAGATATTGGAACAGTTAATATGAAGGAATCACATATGCGTATGTAAAAATATATTATGAGAAAAAAGTGTACTGAGACTTAACTACAACAAAGAGAGTTTGAAAAGTCATATGGAAGAAGTTTTTGATATATTATACCTTAAAACCTTTACCAAAGAAGATGGTGAAGTCTCCTTTTGGAGACATAAATGAAGCGTGGATCAAATTTTATCTTTCAAACTTAAAACGCATGTAACGTCAGGAACCCGAACAGATGACCTTTCTGTTCTGTGATTCCATTATTTAAAAGGTTGTGGAATTTCAGCTTTTCAATTGCTTTCTGGTGCTTGTCTCTTGCTAAGTCCCATAGGTATAGTTTCCTTCCAGGCACCAGCCCACTTAAAGCAAGGCAGTCATGACAGTTGCCAACTCATCAAAAGCAAGTCTAGTCCAGCATTAACCTAATTATATGCTGCAACCACTTTCTTATACATCGGGGGTAACTCTTTGGCTTCCAGCCAGCATCTCTGGGATTTGATTTTCGAGTGATGTTACCAGTTACTTTAAAATGTTTACCTCCTAAATGCTGGAGATGGAATCTCATCATCACAAAGGAGAAAATTTACAATTGGATTAAAAGCCTCTGCTCATGCTAACCAGCATGGCTCTGCCAGTAGCCAGAGCCCTGATCTCTGCTTTCTCTGGACTCATATTTTCTGAGTAATGATGCAGTATTTGGTCCATTATGATTCATTCTGAGATGATGAAGTCATTACGTGCCTTGCTTTTTCTTTCACAGAACATTGGTAAGCATATTTTTAAGGAAAATTTTATACACATCTTTGAAATTTCTGGCAAGGAAATTAGGCAGACATCTGGAAAAGAAGCAACGTTGCTTATCCCCATCCAAAATGTATTTTTACTTCATGTCTGTATTTTTTTTCAAAGACAATATACAAGTTCCTCTTAGCCATGGGCCTCTCCTGAGCAAAAGTATCTGTGTATTCTGTGGGTTACCTTCTGTATCTTAGAAAAAGAAGTCTATGTTTCTATTCCATCCCAGCATTCATGGGGCTACAATGTGGTGTAGAGCTGTCACATGTATTAAATCAACAGCATTTACTGTTGGCAGGAAAATATAATCTGCACCCAATAAGTAGAAACACAAATATAGCCTCACAAGGAAGTTAGTCAATAAGTGCATTTATTCTACATCTGTTGCTGCTGAATTTGGCTACAGTTTTTCCTTATAGTGGTTTGTATGCTGTGCCTTCTGATATGTTCTGTTTGATAGAGGCTTTAATGGGGTGGATTTCCTGAGCTGATATAAGACTCTTTTCCACACTCACTGAGTGGCTGCATTGATGGATCTTAACAGCACCTTCGAAAATGCTGGTGGAAATCTTTTCTTAGTTGAGGTTTTTTAGATATTGGCTATATAACTAAATAAGAAGTTCCATATTTCAAAGTAGTGTGTTTGGAAAGGTGCCCAGAGTAAAGAAAACATTAATAGGCACAAAAAGCTAGCATATGGATGCTATAAGAAGTATAATGGAAAATGTCCAAATAAAGTAGTGGAACCTTCCAGTAAAAGGGTGTGAGGGGCAGTAAGGAAAATATGTTCCCTCTTATGTTTCTGCCAAAATGTAAGGACAATACAACCTACAGAGTAAGTTCAGCAGATGCTGGAGACTGAGGAAAAAGAACATTAGTTGTAGCCAGCTTAGTTTAAAATGACAAAATACTATTTATATCTGAACTCAACATAATTATTGTCTATGTTATTTGACCTCAGGGTCTATTAAGCCTACCTTAAATTAATATAATTAGATAGGACTAAATCCTTCACACAAAAATAATGAAACACTAAAAGGTATCTCCCATAATGTCCAATCTAAAAAACAAAGATCTATAATATTTTCTGAACTCAAGGGATTGGTATTTGTTTTTAAGTTCATATTATGCTAGGCATATACATGAGGAATAAGGTATAATTGCTTCCTTTAAGAAGTTAAAAAGCTAGTTACAAATAGTAGCTGGCTACATTTTCTTTGTTTGCTCCAGAGCAATCATGTTAAGGCTTTTTCATTATGAAGGTCTTTTGTTCCCAAATTCTACAAAACACCTCCTACTTGGAGTCCTGAATATGCATGTTGAATTAATTACTTTATGTGGATGCCCATACCTTTAAGGTTAGGGTTGTAGATATGCTTTAAATGTGACCCCTCAAGTTCATGTGTTGGAAACTTAACTCTTGATGCAACAGTGTTGGGAGGTGGCACCTTTAAGAGGTGTGAGGTTATGAGAGTAGAGCCCTCATGAATGGATTAATGTCATTATCAGAGGAGTAGGTTAGTTATCGTGTGAGTAGGTTTGTTGTAAAAGCAAATTCAGCCCCCTCTTGCTCACTTGTGCATTTTCTCACCATGTGATGCCTTTTGCCATGTTATGGCACAGCAAGAAGGCCTTCAGCAAATGTGATCCCCTTGTTCTTGGACTTTACAGCCTCCAGAGTTTCTATTGTTTATAAATTACCCAGTCTGTGGTGTTCTGTTATGACAACACAAAACACACTTAAACAGTTGTTATGTGTTTTATAAGATTTAAAGACCTTTTTGATGGAGAGCCATAACACGGTAATACTTGAATAGATGAAAGGCAGAACTTTTCTGTTACTTACAGCTCCAAATGAGAGAAGGCTGCCAGGCAGACCCACTTTGGGAGTTGCACTTTGGATAGAGTAACAGTAAACTAAAACTATAAAAGGCAGTTTACGTATGGCAAGCAGAGTTAGCTAGGTTTCTCTGTTCCCTGTGGATCGACTAAGTTGAATAATTTTGTGAGATCTGGGACATAGGGGCTGTCTCTCATTGTCTGGTATCTGACTAAAGTGTGTGAACCTGGTAAGGAAAACGGATAGGAGTAAGGACTTATTCAGCTGCTCAAGAAGGGAACTGGCTGACTTCTAGTTGGGATCTCCAAACTAGGTCAGGATAGTGTAATTTTTAAAAAAACTTATATAATGTAATACAGATACAAATGGCAAAAAGGCATACATTTTACTCTTGAACTGATCTCTCTCCTTCACTTCCAGCACCATTTTCATACCATAGACTTGTGAATAGTTGTTCTTAGAGTGTCCTATACTCTGGAGTTGGATAATTACTACATAATTTTATCATTGAGTATCTTTCTGCATCTTTATATTATCTATATACAGGTCGTATACACAGAGCAGGATTTTACATCATTATCCCACCTGATGACCTCTGTTTTCTACCTGTCAAATTTGGCCTATTTATTAGGTTGGTGCAAAAGTAATTGCGCATTTTGCCATAAAAGTATGGCAAACATTGCAATTACTTTTGCACCAACCCAATATTAGGGATAATAGGATAATGATGTAAAATCCTGTTCTATGCATACTACATCACAATTACTTTTTCACCAACCTAATACAGTGATTATAACAACTGACACAAAGGATTCATTTCTACCATTTTTATTTTGCATTTTGAATGTGTCTTTTCTTAAGTTTCAAATTTTTTATATTTTACTTTTTTGGCATGACTGCCTTTTTTCTTTTTCATCTTTTCCCTTTGAATAAAAATATTTGGAAATTGTATCACTTATGTATATATTTAACTTTTTTCTAAAGTTATTCAGTGTCTTCATCCCCTACCAAACAATACAAGGTCCTTAGATTTTTTCAATTTTGATTTCTCCTACTATTTATCTGTTTTTCCTTATCTCTATAAATTAGACTATACTATTATTTTATATAGACAATACACATTTTAATTTACTTGTTTCTTAGTTCGTTATTCTTTCTTGTAACTGTTCTCCTTCTCTGGTCATTTCCCATTTTTAAAAAACATACCTTACAGAAATTTCTTATTGCAGATATATTGATGTAAACATTCATTCAAAAACGTCTTTACTCATCTTAGTTTCAGTTCACTCTTTTTTTTGTTTGTTTTTGAGGTGGAGTCTTGCTGTGTTGCCCAGGCTAGAGTGCAGTGGCACTATCTTGGCTCACAGCAACCTCTGCCTCCTGAGTTCAAGCGATTCTCCTGCCTCAGCCTCCTGAGTAGCTGGGGTTACAGGCACGCACCACCATGCCTAGCTAATTTTTGTATTTTTAGTAGAGACAGGGTTTCACTATATTGGTCAGGTTGGTCTTGAACTCCTGACCTCATGATCTGCCTGCTTGGTCTCCCAAAGTGCTGGGATTTCAGGCGTGAGTCAGCACACCCAGCCTTCAGCTCACTTTTTTTTATTGTTGCTTTTGTTGATCGTTTTGTTTTGTTTGCCCCTGAAGATTTCCTTAACTTTCTTATACCCCGTTAATGAATTCAAAGTATGTGAATTGTCATTGATTTAAGATCTCATTGTTTTATTTCCAGAGGGCTCTTCAAATATCCTGACCACGTGTTGCAGAGGAATGGATACTGCAGAGGGTTTTGACTTGAATGCCTGGTATAGGAAGTGGGAAATAAAGATATACAGACCTAAGAAAAGCATGTTTACACAAGAGACCGAGAGCAAATCAAGGACTAACTTGCCTTATAAGAGATGAAATGAGATGGGAATTAGGAGGAACACTGTTCTGAAAATTGTTGTAATATAATAAGATGTTTGATTCATGGTCATAGATATCAACACATCAAGACTTACTGTCAGTATCACTTGGCTGAATATCAAGTTAGTATATTACAACATTTTCAACACAAATCAAATTATATAATTTCTTTCAATGTAAGTCTACAACTAGTTGCTTTCTTAATAATAATATCTTTAACTTTTAAAACTTGTACTTAGAAAATACACATATGATTATGACTTACTAAAGAAATACCAGACTTCTAGCCCTTTAAAAATACAGAGCATGTATGTTTGTGTGTATGTTTAAACTGCCCTTTCCATCTGGCTTAGACTCTTTTCTCCAGATCTGTAACATCTGGCCATCAACTTTGACCCTGAGATGGGATCTAAAAATCACCCCGCCATCTGGCATTCTTTCTAGTTGTGTGCCTAAAATGAGATTTTATAGAGACTCATACTGTAAAAGCAATGTGGAACAGGGGATACTACTTTTTGGTTCAGTTCATTACTAAAAATGTTTATGCCACCTCATCTTTACACATCCTTTTTTGCATTAATTTTATATTAATAAAGTTATATTAATCATGTAAATAATTATTCCTTCATCTATAATTCAAATAGCTTAGAGAAAGGTGTATTGTTTTGTCTTTTTCTCAACCCCAATACCCAAAAAAACTTAGCATAGTGTTTTCTCAAGACACATTGAATAAATGAATCAATGAATTAGTAACTTGATTTCTCTTTTTTGAAAATCTCTTCTTTTTAGCTATATGTTTCTTGTCCAATGAGTCCCAAGTTTAATGTTAGCTCTTATTCGATAACAACCTGAAAAATTAAAGTCTGAAATATGCTATCAGGAACAGCAGTGTAAATGGTAATATGATGTCCTTTTCTTTTTAAGTTGAGGACCAAATGAATGTAGTTGAATTACATGCTATTTAATTCTCTTTTTACAGATTATAGTAAGTTTATGTAGCTATCATTTCTCTTTAAATTATTGTATAGAGAGCCCAGTCCTGCCAGAAGTATGTAATTTATAATAAACCAATGACATCAAGACAACGAATTAATTAGTTTTTAAATCACTCAATTCCAACACAAAACTTGATCTCTACTTCAAAACTAGAAACAACGAAAATTTAGATAGATTTGGGTTTTCATTTTTATTTTTGGGCAAAACACTTAATTCAGTAACTTCAACAATATATTCCATAATCTTGCTATTTGTCAGAATACAAGTCTTATTGGTGAAAGAAGCAAAAAGAAAAAGAAAAAGAGAGAGAGAGAGATCAAACCAACCAACCGAGAACATACAAGATTATTTAGTTAGGATTTTAAAAAGCCTCTATTTGGTTTCAAATGTTTATAACTGATGTAATTTTATTTTACCTATTTGTAGCAACACAGAGTTGTTTCAGTTAAATAACATTAGGCTTTTAAAAAGGAGAAAGAAAAATCTAATCTCTACCATGTCCACATGAATTACAATTGTTACATGTAAATGTAAGGTTTCCCATACGTTAGTTTCATAATCCTCCTCCCGAGGATGACCAGCGAAAGAATTTAAATGTCTTGATGTCTGCAAACCAGCTGCCATGCTCAAGAAGTCTTTCCTGGAAAGGCTTCAGTGAGTGGGTATTAAGATTGCCATTTGCGGAAATAAAACTGAAGGCACCAGAGAATGTTCTTTTCCAGCAATTGAGCTGCCACGTGTTCTCAAATTTACCGCTAATCTAAAAAAGACCTTCCTCTTGATTTGTATTTATGATAGAAATATTTACATAGCGCCAAGATGTGTGGCAAATCAAGGGTTGCCACAATGTGAATCTCAATGAAAAGGTTGTTCTGCCTTTATAATTTATGTGCATGTTTGAGTTATATTTTACTCATGATCACTTCTCTTATGAAATAGGCAACTATTTTTGTAAGGTTTTGTAAAGAAATTGATGTGTGCTTTCTTTCTCAACATAGTCCTATATCCTCCCTTTCTACTTTTTTTCCTCTAATAATATGGTAGGTACATTAAGATGTAGAAACTAGGATGCACATTGACCTATAATAGCAAAATTTGTATCAGAAGGCTGCCCATTAAGAAGCTTCATTTCTTTGACTACAGTAAAACATTCATCAGTAAAAGCATAGAATTTTCATTGAAATGAAATGTTAAATAGTCTATTGGTTTTTATTCTTCTTATATAAGATCATTGAAAACAAGAAAATTTAAATAAGAGTAAAAGCTATAAAAAGTAAAACCTAGAAAATAAAATTCCCTGCCTTTAAAATATCTAGTAGTACTCTAAATTGTCAATCAAAGTTCGAGTGGAGCATGAGAAGAGAAGATTTTAAAGGGCAATTATGCAGCCCTGAAAAATGACAACTTTCATATGATAAAGAAACAAGTGTTTCTGTCTGGATCTCACTTCAGAAGATAGAATTTCCCCAATGAACAAATATTCAGTACGTTAAAGTTGACAGAAGGTTATCGATGAAGCTCAGATTAAAATAGTAAATCTTCTTCTTGTTGAAAAAGCCACAAGAGTACAATTAGATATGTTTCATTAATGTGCAAACTCTAAGGAACTAACAAGCTTTAAAGACAATTGACTAGTAGTAACAGTACTAGTTATAGAAGTAATGAGAGTAGTAATAATACTACTAGTAGTACTAACAGTGATAGTTCATGACTAGTATATATAATAAATTAAATGCATTCAGCATATTGTACAAGATCATAAAAGTTATATAAGAAACCAAGTGTTCTAACTCCAAAGTCTGAACTGTTGGTCACTATGCTATACTGCCTTCGTTTGTAAGATCATTGTCAACATTTTGGTGATAAAAGTATAAATATTAACTAAGTTCTTAGAAATATTACATCTTAAAATGTTTTTAAAATTATTTCTTAATTATTTTATGTCAATATTATGTAGGGTTCAGGTATTTGAGAATGGAAAAAAGGAAGAGTAAGGAAAAAGAAGCCATCCAGGCAGACAATAGAAACAAAAATAGTAATTTCAAAACCACTTAAAAGTTGTGCTAAAGTTGTCTATCTTGAAAAGCTTCTAAACAGAGCAATAGAAGAAAAATGCAAAAAGAAAGGAAACAGACTTACATTCCATTATGCAGTAAACATGGGCAAGTGCTCTCTTTAAATTCATACAGTATTTTACCAGTCATGTTAGCGTGTTTACCTGCCTCATTCACAGCTCATTCCACAGCATCTACCACATCTAGAGCTTCTGGGTTTAAAGTGTCTTTTCTAGATGAGAGTGTAAATATTTATATCTGTTATCACATTAATCCACAGCCCTGAACATGACTGGTTACATTAGGATACACATACAACCCTCAGGTGGAGGGAGGGATGCATGGGCTGAACTGATCCAATAAGCTTATTTCTCTTAAGAATTTCAAGCACAATAATCACACAAAAATTAAAATACTTAGGTATATATTTAACCAAGGAGATAAAAGATCTCTACAGGAGAACTATAAAACACTGCTGAAAGAAATCATAGATGACACAAACACATGGAAAACCATTCCATACTCATGGATTGTAAGAAAATATATTGTTAAAATGACCACACTGCCCAAAGAAGTTTACGAATTCAACACAATCCCTATCAAATTACCAACATAATTTTTTACAGAGTTAGGAAAAAAAGAAAAAAACCTAAAGTTCATATGGAAACAAAAAGACCTTGAGTAGCCAAAGCAATCCTAAGCAAAAAGAACAATTCTGGAGACATCACTCTGTTCAAATTCAAATTATACTACAAGGCTAAACTAATTAAAACAGGATGGTACTGGTACAAAAATGGACACACAGATCAGTGGAACAGTATATAGAACACAGATATAAATCCACATATCTACAACCAAGTGATCTTCAACAAAGACTACAAAAATAAGCAATGGGAAAGGATACCCTATTCAATAAATGGTGATGAGAAAATTGCCTTCTATGCCAATGTGCAGAAGAATGAAGCTGGTTCCCTATCTCTTACCATACTCTAAAATTAACATGGATAAGAGACTTAAACGTAAGACCTGAAACTACAAAAGTCCTAGATGAAAACCTAGGGAAAACTCTTCTGGACATTGTCTTAGGCAAACAATTTATGAAAAAAAACCCCAAAGCAAATGCAACAAAACCGAAAATAAACAAATGGGACTTAATTAAACTAAAAAGTTTCTGCACACCAAAAGAAATAAGCAACATAGTGAATAGATAACCTACAATCTAGAAGACTGTATTTGCAAATTATGCATCTGAAAAAGAACCAATATCCAGAATCTACAAGGAACTAACCAGCATGGCACATGTATACATAAGTAACTAACCTGCACGTTGTGCACATGTACCCTACAACTTAAAGTATAATAATAATAAAATAAAATAAAATAAAAACTCAACAGGGAAAAAACAAATAACCCCACTAAAAACTGGCCAAAGGACATGAACAGACATTTCTCAAGAAATGCAAGTGGCCAACAAACACCTGAAAAAATGCCCAGCATCACTAATCATCAGAGAAATGCAAATCAAAAGCACAGTAAGATGTCATTTTACACCAGTCAGAATGGCTATTACTAGAAAGCAAGTGGCAGATGTTGGCATGGATGTGGAGAAAAGGGAATGTTTCTATATCTTTGGTGAGAATATAAATTAGTTCAACCTCGATGGAAAACAATACGGAGATTTCTCAAAGAACTAAAAATTTGACCCAGCAATCCCACTCTTGGGTATATATACAAAGGAAAAGAAATCATTATATTAAAAAGATAGTCACAATAATGAAGTCATGAAACCAACCTAAGTGTCCATAAACAGTTCACTGGATAAAGCAAATATGGTATACATATATACTACATATACAAACACATATAGATAGATACACATACATACAGATAGTTAGATGACAGATAGATAGATAGATAGATAGATAGATAGATAGATAGATAGATAAACACCATGGAATACTATGCAGCCATGAAAAAGAATAAAATTATGTCTTTGCAACAACATGGATGGAACTGAAGGTCATTAACCTAAGTGAACTAATTCAGAAACAAAAACCCAAATACCATATGTTCTCACTTATAAGTGGGAGTTAAACAATGGGTACATATGCACATACAGATGGAAAGAATAGAAAATGGGGATTTCAAAAGAGGAAAAACTGGGAGGGGAGCAAGGGTTAAAAAATCACCTATTGGATACAGTGTTCACTATTGGGTAATGGGTATACTACAAGTCCAGCCTCAGCAGTATGCAATATATCTGTGTAACAAACAAGCATTTGTACCCCTCTTACTCTAAAATAAAAATAAAATTAAAATTAAAAAAAATCAAGAACACAGAATATGGTCAACCAATAATGGATGTCAAGCAATGATATACTTTGGGATTATAGCTCTTAGCTTTGAGTTATGTAATGGCAATAAGGAAACAGAAAAGGCCATTCTGCTTACAGAAATAGGAAAGTATAGCACAAAAGCAAAGACAAATGGGAGACATGTCATCTCTGAAAGACATAGATTAAGTTCAATTCCTGACAGCTTTCCAGTCTGTGAGACCAGTTTCTACTTATTTCCATTCCTCAAATTCAGTGTAGGGTTTTCTACACTGAAAGTCCCTACCTGGTCTTTGCTTAAATGAGTTGTGAATCCTTGAATTTTAAATTGCCTTGAGTAGAAAAAAATAAGAGTAGTGTGGCAATCTCCATTTTCTAGTTAGAAGATCGTTTGACTTTACATTTAACTAAGGAAGAGTGAGAAATGAAAACGTCTTGCTCCGTGTAAGACTGTTTTACTACAAATAGGCAAACTTAGAATTGGCTCCCTTTGGTGTTAACTCTGCTCAGATGTTTTCTAAACCAGGTCTCCTTGTTCAGTAGCTGAAACCTGGAAGGGGTCACAGCATGACCTTGGGCTTCTGATCAGAAGAATAACTAGAAAGTAAAAGATGAGATAACTGGGGGATTTTCAGTGTTCCCAATAGAGAAAACTCACACTATAATTAAATACAAATGTATCCAAGTTATTTTATTAAAATATGTCCCATTATGTTTTTTCAAAGTTGAATATGTTTTTAGATTGGTGACTTTAGCCCATTTCAGTCTACACTACAAAATAATGATAATTTGTCTTTTATTTCCATAAGAAAAAGATATTATATTATAAAACTTTAAAACTCATTCAATTAACATTTATTGAATGCCTAACCTCAGCTTGATGTCAGGAATTCAATGGAAAATAAAATACATTTCCAGTATAAAAGTAGCTTATACTTTAGTGGAGTGAAATTTTGAAGTGTAGAAAAAATATTAAACATTTAAATATGTTTTAAAACTTGATAATAACTTGTTAACATTTGCTAAGGGTTATGCTATACTCAGGTTAAGAGTTTTAAGCAAAATGTAAAATGTTAACTACTAAGTTGAGATGATGAATCTTTTATTAAAACTATTTTTGTAAAATATTCTACTTAATGAACACTAAATACAAAATAAATTAGTCTCATAATTTAATGATGTACATAATGAAGTATTTATATTAAATTGTAATAAAAATCCTAGTGTCACACAAAAAATATTTAAAACATTATTCTCCTTATTAAGAGAATTCTTTGTTCTCCTAATAGGTTAAATAGTGAAATACATAATTTAGGATTCTGTACTCAATCACAAATTACACTCTGTGAAGATAAGCATCTAATGTTACTTTGGCATAAAGAATAATTAATTAGCCATTTACTCATCTTCAGTTCATCAACACTTAATGCAGTACCTACTATAGTAGATGCTTAATAAAAAATTGTTCAATAAATGAATAACTCAAGAGTAAGCATCGTAAACCTGTTTTCCATATTATGCAATACAAAAAGTAGACAAAAATGGCTTGATTTTGAAGTTTATAATTGTGATCATTTTTTATCAAGTCCTATTAATAATGTTTTTATATTCTTAAGGGTTAATCATATTTTGGGGAAAGTGAAACCAATATAATTAATTACTCTATTTTTTGTCCTTTGCTTTCTTACTTTGCTTTAGGAAAGTGATGGTTAACATAATATCACCATATACAGGGAAGGTACATAATTTAAAATAAACATTTTGTGTAGTGACATATGGAAAGATTTCATCAATGACCCTGGTAAAAATTCAGAACTCAATAAATAAAGAATAAATATGCTTTTCTCTCTGTCTCTCTCTCATGCCAGCTTAAATTAGAAGGGCATGAATTCTTACAAAGAAAAATCAAGGAAATTTATGTTAGATGTCTTTGATATTAAACAAATTGTTACAATTATTTCAAAAGAGAAATCCTTAATTTTCAGACATACTTGAGCCAATCAGGGGACATAATTAAAACCAAATGCAAAGCAATTCATTCTGCTTTCTGAAATATGTAGGTTGTTGAGGTGCATCAGCAGAAGTGAGAGAGGAAAACATATAGACAACTATGGTTTTTGGCACAGGTGAATTTAGAGAATTACATTTAGATATAAAAATAATCTCACAAAATAAACCAAGAACTTCCTCATACTTCTAAAATCTGTTAACATTTCGTAACATTTTCTGTTTCTCAATAAAAGTGTACCGTTTTAAAATCATAATTCATGCACATTTTAAATGGAACTTATAAGTAACCCACAGCACCCTTCCATTTCTTCTACATTAGTGAATTGAATTTCTGTATGAAGTGATATCCTTCCCACACTACCTGAGGAGTTCTTACATTTGCCTGAGTTTCACTTATCAACACTTATTCCATATTATTGCTCCAAACCTTACTTATGCTTGAAGATAAAATACAAAAATTATCATCTAGGAAATAACTTTGTAAATATTAAAACCATAATTTAAAATCTTCACATAAAGAAAAGTCTAGGCCCAGATGTCTTCAATGGTAAATTTCTCTAAATATTAAAGGAATATATAAGTTTTATAAAGCTACTTTAGAGAATAGAAAGGAAGAAATAATTCCCAGTTCATTCTTGCATCTAGCATAATCACCATACCAATGTGAGGTATGAACTTTACAAGAATGGGAATTTGTAACGTTTCTCATGTACACAGATACAACAATCTAAAACAAAATATTCACATCATATATCTCACCATATCCCAGAGGGAGTTGTTTTATAAATTTGAAATTAATTATAATTACAAAGAAAATCAATATGAATTACCACATTAACAATAGGGGTTAAAAATATGTGACCATCTCCAGAAGCAGAAGAGGTATTTGATGAAATTTAACAAATATTTATAATAAATATTCTCAAACAACTAGACATTTAAAAAACGTATTTGATTTAATCATAAAGGGCCATCTACCAGAATATCTATAGCTAGTATAATTCTAAAAGGTGAAATATGTAAGACTTTCTTTTTAAAGTTGAAAAAAGGACAATTATATCTACTCTCATCACTTCTTTTCAGTTTTTCCCAAAGGGCCTATCCAATGCCATAAAAAGAAAATAAGTAAACCTATAAAGACTGAAAGGAAGGAACATTATTTTCATTGTATGTCTACAACATTCGAAAGACTCTATAAAAATACTAGTATTGGCCAGGCGCCGTGGCTCATGCCTGTAATCCCAGCACTTTGGGAGGCCAAGGCAGGTGCATCATCTGAGGCCAGGAGTTCGAGACCAACCTGGCCAACATGGCGAAACCTTGTCTTTACTAAAAATACAAAAAATTAGTCAGGCATAGTGGCAGGCGAGCTACTCAGGAGGTTGAGGCAAGAGAATCGCTTGAACCTGGGAGGCGGAGGCTACAGTAAGCCAAGATTGCGGCACTGCCCTCCAGCCTGGGCAACAAGAGTGAAACTCTGTCTCAATAAATAAATAAATACATACATAAATAAGAATACTAGTATTAAAAAGTGAATTTACTCAGCAACTTGGATGGAATTGGAGACCATTATTCTAAGTGAAGTAACTCAGGAACAGAAAACCAAACATCATATGTTCTCACTCATAAGCGGAAGCTAAGCTATGAGTATGAAAAAGCATAAGAGTGATACAATGGACTTTGGGGACACTGGGGAAAGTTTGGGAAGGGGTTGAGGGATAAAATAATACACATTGGATACAGTGTACTCTGCTCAGACAATGGGTGCACCAAAATCTCAGAAATTGCCACTAAAAAACTTAGTCATGTAACCAACACCAACTGTTCCCCGAAACCCTATTGAAATAACAATAAAAAGAACCAAAGAAATAAAGTATGCATTGTTGAGTTTGTCAAAATAATAAAAATACAAATAATAAAAAGTGAGTTTAGATAGGTTGCTGAATGCCTGGTCAACAGCCAACTAGAATTAAAAAAAAAATTATAACATCATCAAAAAACCAAATGTCTTAGATCTTTTTGAGAGGAATGTGATAGACCATTGCAGAGATAATTTTAAAAAAACATAAGTAAATAAAGGTATTTTCCTGCTTATGGATTGGAAAACTCAATCTTGTGCTTCCAAATGGATCTACAGCTTCAATGAAAAAACAACACAAATCTCAGTATGCTTTCTTCTTGTGGAAATGGAAAAACTCTCTAAAACCATGTAGAAATACAAAGGACCTAGATTAGGCAATACGGACTTCAAAATGAAAATTAAAAAAGCAGAACTTAGCCATATTTCAACACATACACTAAAGCAACAATTAAGACAGCTGGGTGGATATTTGTGCAAGGATGGGTGCTTGATTTACGACAAAGGCACTACTGCAATTAGAAAAGAAATGATGGTCTTTTCAATAAGTGATGCTAGAACAATTGGTTATCCATTAAAAAAAAGATTTCTACCTCATACCATAACTAAAATGTGAAAGTTAAAAAATATATATTATTTAAGAAAACATAGGGAGAATATCCTCAGGGCTTTGTGTTAGACAATTTATCTTCTTTTTCTTTTCTTTTTTATTTATTTACTTTTTTTTTTTTTTTTTTTTTTTTTGAGACGGAGTCTCGCTCTGTCACCCAGGCTGGAGTGCAGTGGCTCGATCTTGGCTCACTGCAACCTCCACCTCCGGGGTTCATGCCATTCTCCTGCCTCAGCCTCTCAAGTAGCTGGGACTACAGGCGTCCGCCACCATACCTGGCCATTTTTTTTTGTATTTTTAGTAGAGACAAGGTCTCACCATATTAGCCAGGATGGTCTCAATCTCCTGACCTTGTGATCCGCCTGTCTCGGCCTCCCAAAGTGCTGGGATTACAGGCGTGAGCCACTGCGCCCGGCTGACAATTAATTTCTTATATAAGATACTAAAAACATGGACTTTGGAAAACCACTAGTACATGTACCATGTACCAATACGACATGTAAAATGAACGAACAACAAAAAAACTCAATTGTTCTTAATTGAGGGCAATCCAGGCTCAATCTAACCGTAAGCATCTATATTTGGATTTTTATTCAGAAATAATCGGTATTTTTCTGAAATTTGGACGGTTTACAACAACCTTCAAGGTTCATAAGAACAAATTTGAGCTTTCATTGTGGACTGTAGAACCCACAATTTTTCAAAATGACCTTTACTAATACAGTATGAAGGACATGGAAATTTAAAGTGTATAAAGTGAAATACGCTGATATTTAATATACATTAAATGAAATGTGTAAAGTTAAATGTACTTAAATAGCCTAATAGCCTATGACCAATTCTGCATATATATATATACATATCCTTCATTCACACAATATACACACATCCTCTACTTCTATATAAAAATAAAATTTAAATCACGATGAATATATAATTTACATAGAGGAGTGAATTAGAAATTGAATCAAAAAGTAAAATTTTCAACCAGAATTTACACATTTCACCCTAAATCTCAGATGATTTTATCCCCAGTGTTATGCTACTAGAAAAAAAAGATTTAAATATTATTTTGACAAGGTAATAATTCAGACATTTAAAATATTTTCCTATTATTCACTCCATCTCAGAATACTACAGTGTTCACATTTCTTTTCAATAAAAAACGATGCTTGGATTGACTCAGCAGCAACTTCAAGCCTTATCACTTGGATCATTAGTTATGTGCCAATGGTTATTAGAAATTTTGAGTGTGTTTCTGCACCTGCATACCTGTTTCTTACAAGCTAAAAGGGAGAAAAGCAGAGAATAATGGCTCATTAAGAGAATTCATTGATGTTATCATGCTTAGCAGAAGATCTGACATCTGTGATGAAAGACTAAACATTTTCAAATTGCGAGGTCTTGTTGGGGGAATGCTAGATATCAGGACAAAGTTTACACACACACACAACAAATTATCATCTATATAATGTGTATAATCTATCAGTTACATTATAATGATGAACTCTATAAATTACTGAGCTTGACAAACTTATTTTTGAGAATTACTTTTATATTTATTATAATGAGATATGTGAAATCAAAGTTCAAAAGTGACTTTACCTTTTTGATATATGAATTAAGTTTATTTACAAATGTTATTTTCTACTTTTAGAAGTATATTTTTGAAATAGGTAACATATTCCCTACATCATTTTTTCAAGGGCCACAAAAATTGATGTGTGATTATAAGACATAATATAAACTACAAATTCTAACATTTTGAGACATTTTAATTTTCAGTAAATTTCATACTTTAAAATAGCAAATAACATTAAATCATAAGTAGGTGAAAGGAGAAAGTATTGTTATTTTTATTGAGTAAATTTGGGAAATTTCTCATTAATGATTATTAAATTTAAAGGAATTTTCAACAGTTACTGGACTTATTCTTTTGATTGCGTGCTCAATACAGAGGATATTTTCTTTTCAGTGTAAGCAGATGACTTCTCCAGCATGCTCCACCTCTGTGTGTGAACATGTGTCAAACACAGAGAATAAGGGCTTGGATCGGAATCCCAAAGAGAACAAAAACTCCAATGCAGGACAAAATATACACTCACACACATCCTGCATGGGTACATAACATTAGAGAATGCTATTCCTGCTTAAAATGTAACATTAGTTGTTGCAATTTCCCCAGAATACAAAATTGGTTCCACTTATATGTAAAGCCCATATGCATCATCTATATTGAACATACTTTAGAATTTCACAATAGTTATTTTTCAAGATAATTTAAATCAAATCACAGTACTATTATGATATTGAGTTTAAAAATTTAAATGTTAGTTGACCTTTCAAAATCTACATTTAATTCTATGTTTAAGTGGTAGCGATTTATAATAAAAATGAGCAGAATGAAAAATTGACTATTGTTTTCATATCAAATTTATATTTTGATACGTGATTTAGGCCATCATATATACATATATGCATATACGCACATACATACACATACACTTCTTAAAATAGCCAATTATAGAATGTAAAGTAACTGTTGATTTTATGAGACAGCCTACCTCTTACCTGGTAATACTCAACCTTTTAAAAGTACACCTGAAAACGTATGATTTCCTGTTTCTGCATCTTGGCTTATTTTGAATATATGAAAAACTTTTAATTAATTAGGGTTTTTTGTTTCCATTATCTTAATTGAAACTTTTGGTTATAATAAATTCTCAGAGAAATTAATCTTTCTAAATTTACCTTTCTAAAATTTACCTTTCTAAATAAATAATTTACCTTTCTAAAATTATAAATAGCAAAAACGCATATTAGATACTAATAATTATATTTTCTGTTTTGGGGATTTGTATTGTTACTCAGGTAATTCTAACTTTCAATATGATAATAACCCTAAAAATCATTAGCAGCAGGGATTACTCTCCAAAATTAAATATTCCATCTAAAAATTTATAAGTAATATGATATTTTTAAATATCTACAAGAAAATTTCCCTTGGAAAATGTCCACAGGATGTGAAAGTATTTTTTTGGAAATGGAATTGTCATATATAGTTCAAAACCATCAGGGTCATGATTCATACATGTATCTTAATTATCCCTGTTTGCTGATATTCGTAACCACTAATTTGAAATTTTCCTCCAGCCTGACATTAAAACCTTATACATTTTTTTCTGTAAAATAAAAGTAACTTTTTTTTTACAAGAGGAAGCAAATAATATCTGCTTGGAGCACTGAATTATCTTTCTGAAGTTTGGATTCATATTTGTAAGAGGACAATCAGGCCTTTACAGGTCATAAATATAATGCTGTCCTCTACTTCATCCAGCCTCCACTCCTGTCCAAGGTCTATCTTTGCCTAGTTAACATAGAGTGAGAAAGAGGACCTTTTACTCATAACCCCTTTGAGAAGCCACTTTAACATCAATTCTTCAAGCCATAGGCCTTTTTATTTACTGCCACTCCACAGTGATCCCAGACCTTGACACTCCTAGAGGCAACCAATTTAATGAGATGTTGGCTACTCAGCAGATAGTGGAAAACCAGTTGATAGAGAATTATCTATATTTCCCCTGTACTCAGTTGTTTCAATCCTTGCTTTGCTTTTCAAAGAGAATTACCAAAAAGAGGAGAAAGCTTAAAGTTGACATCTAATGAAAGAAGACATTTTGCATTTTGTAACCTCCAAAAAGGAGGTTACAAACCAGCCATTATGAGATACAGCTGATCTGAAAAATGTGCTGTTACTTTGATATAATTTACAGGAAAAACCAGATTTCCACTATTTTTGTAAAATAATTATCAGAGAGCACTCGGCTGGTAGATGTGTGTGGGTGGCAACATTAGGCTAGAGCTGAATGATGGATTCCTCCTGTTATGGACTGAATGCTTAATGTTCTCCCTGAAATTCATACTTTGAAGCCCTAACTCCCATTGAAACGGTATTTGGATGTGAAGCCTTTGGGAGATAATTAGGTTAAGATGAGGTCATGAGTGTAGACCACTCAGGATGGAATAATGTACTTTTAAGAACAGAGTAACAGAAAGATCTGTCTCTCTTTCTTCCTCTCTCTTCATGTGATTGCCCTGAGAAAAGGCCACATGAGGACACAGCAAGAAGGTTGCTGCCTACAAGCCAGGAAATGGGCCCTCACCAGGAAATGAATCTTCCACCAGCTTGGACCTTAATCTTGGACTTCCCAGTCTCCAGAACTGTGAGAAATCTATTTCTATTGTTTCAGCCTCCCTGTCTATGGCATTCGTTGTAGCAGCCGAGCAAACTAAGCCACCCACTTAAACCAAAAATGTGCTTTCTCATTTTTCTACCACTCACACTGAATATGCAGACACCCTTCCACCTGGCAGCTAGATTCATTTCTGTTGCCTGCCTCACATGGGAGGCACCTGGGTTGGCAGTGCCTGGATTAAGGGGAAGTTAAACTCTCTCAATGGGCATTCTCACTGCTGACTCCCTGCTGCATGCCTCATACGCTTCAGCTCTAGCATTCTGCTCTTCACTCAGCAATTAGAAGTCTCCTTCCAAGAGGAATTGGTCTTACCCCGTGCCCATCAATCAGTCCGTTATTTCATGGGTAGTGCATTTCCCTAATTCTGAGATATTCCTTTAAAACTAACACCAGAGCTGGAGTTCCACAAAACATGCATAATGATGTTTGAAAAACAGAATGTCAAAGTCTAGGGTATCTGGCTGCTCTTAGTCACCCCATAAAGTACAGCAAGGGCTTGAGCCCTTCAAAACAGTTTTATTTAAAGATCTCCCTCCCAATGGGAGATGCAGACATACCCATTTATTATCACAGGCATCCACAGTGTAGTTGTTCAACCAAACACACACACACACACGCACACACACATTTACATACACCCTTTCCAAGAGAAAAAATACTAATTTTTAAAGACAATGTAATTTTAATACAAAATGAAAAAGAAGCAAATAGATTTCTTATAACTTACAAGCTGCCTCTTTTCCCAAAAAGTTATTAATTCATTTTTTAGAGTTATGTTTAGTGTCCTTTTTCAGGCCTAAAAGAACAAGATAGTAGATAAATTTCTGAAGTATGATACTCTTAGTGATGTCTTTCTGCATATACAAAGGAAGCCTTTGAAATAAACACCTTAATTATGACTCAATTGTTCTTTTAGCAAAGAGTTTTCCTTTTCTCAAGTTCTGTCCTGGAGAAGTAAAAAATATCATTTTCCAAGTTACATAAATATATTAAGATGAATAAAATATTTTTTGTTTTTAAAACTGACAAATAATAATTGTGAATATTGGGGTATAACGTGGCATTTTGTTCTGTTCACCAGCAATGTAAGAAAAATGATATTACTACTAGTTGCTTTGAAAATTTTAAGTAATAAAATATAATCATTAGGTATCTATTTTTAGTATATTTTTAATTTTTAAAATTATATATGGACAAATTGTCATTATATATGTTTATGGGGTAAAAAGTGATATTATGATATTTGAATACAATGTGTAATGTAGTATTAAATCAAGCTAAGCAACTTAACTATCACCCGAAATATTTGACATTTTTTTGTGATGAGACCATTTGAGATATACTCTCTTAGCAATATTGAAATGTACAGTTAAAGAACCAACCTAAGTTTTATCCATCAATGAAATAATGGATAAAGAAAATGTGGTATATATCCACAGTAGAATACTACTCGTACTGAAAAGAAGAAGAAATTCTGTTATTTACCACAACATAGATGGAATTGGAGACATTATGCTAAGTGAAATGAGCCAAACTCAGAAAGACAAATGTTCTCACTTATATGTGGAATATAAAAAATTGAACTCATAGAAGCAGAGAGCAGAATGGTGAATATAGTTAATGACAGTATTTGTAATAATTATTGATCAACATTTGACATTTACATTTCTTGACTAATTTTTTTTCACTACAGGTACTTTTCAAATTATTTTCACTTACTTATAGTATACTTACTGAACAAATACAATGTTAAAAGCTGTTGATTCAAATATAAATAAATTATATTTTACCTATCGTTGCTCACGATAAAATTAGATATTCTATGTACATAAATTTTTAAAATATAAAATGATTAAAATGATTGGCAATGGGAACTAATACTTCTTAAACTCTAACGTACATACAAATCATCTGAAGATTTTGTCACATGTGATGCTGATTAATATATCTGAACATCTGCATTTCTAATAAGCTCCTAGCTGATGAGTAGCAAGGATATATGCTTGTGCTTTAGGACAGATAAATGGCAGTGGCATAACTACCAAAATCGAACTGTATTTCAGAGGATTAGTAAGATTTTACCACATAGAGAACATGGAGAAAGGTATTTCTTTCTTTTTTTTTTTTTTTTTTGAGTTGGAGTCTTGCTCTGTCGCCCAGGCTGGAGTGCACTGGCGCGACCTTGGCTCACTGCAAGCTTCGCCTCCCGGGTTCACGCCATTCCACCACATCCGGCTAATTTTTTTTTGTATTTTTGGTAGAGACGGGGTTTCACTGTGTTAGCCAGGATGGTCTCGATTTCCTGACCTCGTGATCCACCTGCCACGGCCTCCCAAAGTGCTGGGATTACAGGCGTGAGCCACCGCCCCCAGCCGAGAAAGGTATTTCTTCAGGAAAAACAACAAACACAGACCTAGAGAGAGGCTCAAAAAGCAAAGGAGCTCCTAAGAGCAAGTATTCCAAGTGCAACTCTACCTTATCACATAGGGCACAGCAAGTGGTAGCTTCCTTAAAAGAGGGTATCACAGGGTCCACTACCCCTAGGTGGACTTGAGAAGTGGGGGAATGTGTTCCTTCATCTTCACATTCATTTCTTCCTTCTCTACATTCTCTCCCTGTCCATCACCCCAACTCTTATTTTGTGTCTCCTTTTTTAAAAACAAACAAACGAAAACAAAAACAAACAACAACAAAAAACAAATTAAAAAAAAACCCTTTTTAAAAAAATGTTTCCTAACCAGAAGCATATATGACAGAGATTTGGAGATTGGCATGCTTCCTGCAATGAAAGGAAAAACGCTATTCTTATAGAAAAATGTATAATAAGTTTATAGAGTGCTGAAAGAAATTTAGAGATTCTCCGTACTTCAGAAGTGAACTTCTCAACTCTCTCTACCAAGTCTTGCTTTATTTCCCTTCAGATTATAAGGCCAATTGTATATTTGTTTTGTGATGGAAATTGAGGGATATCCTGAGATTTTGCTGAAGTTACATATCAGCTTAAGAAGTTTTTGGGCTGAGATGACGGGGTTTTCTAGATATGGGATCATGTCATCTGCAAGCAATGACAATTTGACTTGTTCTCTTCCTATTTGAATACCCTTTATTTCTTTATCTTGCCTGATTTCCCTGGCCAGAACTTCCAATACTATTTTGAATAGGAGTAGTGAAATGTAATGGTTAATTGAGTGTCAACTTGATTGGATTGAAGTATGCAAGATATTGTCCCTGGGTGTGTCTGTGAGGGTGTTGCCAAAGGAGATTAACATTTGAGTCAGTGAACTGGGAAAGGCAGACCCACCCTTAATCTGGGTGGGCACCATCTAATCAGCTGCCAGTGTGGCCAGAATAAAATTAGGCAGAAGAAACTGAAAAGACTAGACTGGCTTAGCCTGCAGCTTACATCTTTCTCCTATGCTGGATGCTTTCTGTGCTCAAACATCAGACTCCAAGTTCTTCAGCTTTGGGACTCGGACTGGCTTCCTTGCTCCTCAGCTTGCAGACAGCCTACTATTGGACCGTACCTTGTGATTCCGCGAGTCAACACTCCTTAATAAACTCCTCTTTATATATGCATCTATCCTATTAATTCTGTCCCTCTAGAGAACCCTGACTAATATAGAGGACATCCTTGTCTTGTGCTGGTTTTCAAGGAGAATGCTTCCAGCTTTTGCCCATTCAGGTTGATATTTGCTCTGGGTTTGTCATAAATGGCTCTTATTATTTTGAGGTATGTTCCTTCAGTACCTAGTTTATTGAGTGTTTTTAACATGAAGGGAGGTTGAATTTTATCAAAGGCCTTTTCTGCATTTATTGAGATAATCATGTGGTTTTCGTCTTTAGATCTATTTATGTGATGAATTGCATTTACTGACTTGTGTGTGTTAAACCAGTCTTGCATCCCATGGATGAAGCCAACTTGATTGTGGGACAAGCTTTTTGACATACTGCTGTGTTCAGTTTGCTAGTATTTTATTGAGAATTTTTGCATTGATTTTCATCAGGAATATTGGTCTGAAGTTTTCTTTTTTTTTTGTAGCTCTGTTAGGTTTTGGCATCAGGATGACGCTAGCTTCATAGAATGAGTTAGGGAGGAGTCCCTCCTTTTCCACCATTTGGAATGGTTTCAGAAGAAAGGGTATTAGCTCCTCTTTGTATTTCTGGTAGAATTCAACTGTAAATCCATCTGGTCCTGGGCTGTTTTTTATTGGTAGGTTATTTATTACTGCCTCAATTTCAGAACTTGTTATTCATCTATTCAGGGATTCAACTTCTTCCTGTTTCAGTCTAAAAATGCCTGAAGAAAATCTAGGCAATCATTCAAGACATAGGCACAGGCAAAGATTTCATTACTAAATCACCAAAAGCAATTGCAACAAAAGCAAAAGTTGATAAATGGAATCCAATTAAACTAAAGAGCTTCTACACAGCAAAAGAAACTATCATCAGGGCAAACAGGCAACTTACAGAATGTGAGGAAATTTTTGCAATCTATCCATCTGACAAAGATCTAATATCCAAAATCTACAAAGAACTAAAACAAATTTACAAGAAAAAACAAATGACTCCATTAAAAAGTAGGCAAAGAACATGAACAGACACTTCTCAAAAGAAGACATCCATGTGGCCAACAAACATATGAAAAAAAGTTCAACATCACTGTATTAGTCTGTTTTCATGCTGCTGATAAAGACATACCCAAGCCTGGGCAATTTACAAAAGGAAGAGGTTTATTACTCTTTCTTATTATTACAGTTCCACATGGGTGGGGAGGGCCTCGCAATCATGGCAGAAAGCTAGGAGGAGCAAATCACATCTTACATGCAAGGCAGCAGCAAAAAAAGAGTTTGTGCAGAGCAACTCCTGTTTTTAAACCATTAGATCTCATGAGACCCATTCACTATCACAACAGCACAGGAAAGACTCGCCCCATTAATTCATTCATCTCCCACTGGGTCCCTCCCACAACACATGGGAATTATGGGAGCTACACGATGAGATTTGGGTGGGAACACAGAGCCAAATTATATCAATCACTGATCATTAGAGAAATGCAAATCAAAACTACAATGAGATACTATCTCACACTAGTCAGAATGCCAATTATTAAAAAGTCAAGAAACAATAGATGTGGAGAAATAGGAATACTTTTACAGTGTTGGTGGGAATGTAAATTAGTTTAACCATTGTGAAAATGGTGTGGCAATTCCCCAAAGGTCATTAATATATCTCATTAATGGATATATACCCAAAGGATTATAAATCATTCTATTACAAAGATGCATGCATGCGTATGTTCATTGCAGTACTATTCACAATAGCAAAGACATGGAATCAACCCAAATGCCCATCAGTGATAGACTGGATTAAAAAAATGTGGTACATATATACTATGGAATACTGTGCAGCCATGAAAAGGAACAAGATGATGTTCTTTGCAGGGACATGGATGGAGCTGGAAGCCACTATCCTCAGCAAATTAACAAAGAAACAGAAAACCAAACACCACAGGTTCTCACTTATAAGTGGGAGCTGAACAATGACACATGGACATAGGGAGACGAACAATATACCCTCAGGCCTGTTGGGGGGTAGGGTGGGGGGAGGGCGAGTATTAGGAAAAATAGCTGATGCATGCTGGGCTTAATACCCAGGTGATGGGTTGATAGGTGCAGAAAATCACCAGGGCACTTGTTTACCTATGTAACAAACCTGCACATTCTGCACATGTATACCAGAACTTAAAATAAAAATAAAAATTTTCAAAAATTAAAAAAAAAGAAAATTGGGGATAGTGGAACAGACAGGTGTCTGCCTTATTTCAGCCTTATTTAAGTTATGATCAAGAGTGCAAAGGGAAAACTTTAGGGGAATATGTCATGATGCTACAGTTAGTCATCAGCTATCAAGATTCCAGAAGCAGCTGAATATTTAGTATATAATTATTAATGAGCAATGGGTTCAGTTCAAATTTATACTTAAATGGCAACACGTTTGTGTCAGAAAGTGACAGTTGCATATTCCAACATACATTCTTCTCTTCCTTTTTGTAACTAAACCTTGATTACATTTCACAGTCTCCCTGAAATTTGGTGTGACTATGGGACTAGGGTCTAGGCAATGAATTAGACTATACAAATGGTGGAAGATTGAATCAGAGTGAACTTAATAGTGCTGTCATTCCAGCTCAATGTAGCACTTTCTTGTAGTTATCTTTTCCAGTATTAAACATTCTCCAATGTTAATGTTCTTACTATGTGATAGGAACTATCCTTTTTGTTTTATTTATATTGTTTAATGTAATATTCACAATAATCCTTTGAGATGCATACCAAAATTACCTCTGTTTTCACAATGAAGTGAAACTGGGTTTTGAAGAAGATAAAAATGAAGCATAGATTTGAATTTAGGCTGTGACTGTTAATGTGATTCTGTTATTAAGCTTTTATTCTCCCTTAGCCTTTTGTTACACATATTAATCACATTGACACCAAGCACTTATATCTGGGCTTTTTCCACACATATAAGATGTTCTCAGTGATGTCTGCTTCCTTTGGTCTTTAGCTGCTTTTATGATTTTCTCCTTAAAAAGATCAAGTGCTATTTTTGTTCAATTTATTTCTACTGTTTCTAGCATTTTATTTGATGATATGTTTCTGGATGATCACTTGAACTGAGATACCTTATTAGTGCACAAGGTTTTGAAATATAAATTTCCATGTGTGCGGTGAGATGGAGTAGCGAGAAGGAGGAAAAGGATTAGTAACTAATAGCACTATGCCTTTGTTATCACAGAGAGATATAACCTTCCATTCCTTATCTAAAAAAAAAAAAAACAGTATTATTTTGTAACTTTCAATGTCTTCAAATAAATCTCAGTGAAATCTATTGAATTCTGAAATCATGAGTTTCTGGGCTTATGAGTTTGTTGTCCCACTGTTCCTGGTAGCATTCACTTTGTATACCAGATGGCATGGTCTGCTCTAGCTACAGAAGTATGAATCACCAGGAATACATTTTATGAGGAGGAAATTTCACTTTCTTGCCTTATCACATTTGAATGACATTATTTAGATGGGAAATGGCTGCATATTTGAACATTTATTTTGCCCTACACCCATATTTATTTAATATATATGTATATGTGTATGCCAATTTGAAATTTATATTCATGAATATATCTTGGTTTTATAAACACCATAAAACATTGAGCACTGAAATTACTTATTTCATTAAATACTTTTTATGCACATAAAAGTTAACATTTTTGATAAGTGACAGTGAAGATGCTATAGACATTTTACCAGAGGAATAGCTATCTGATGCAGGCACACTGTACAAGGTGAGAAATGGTCTCTCATTAATAATAAATATTGTAGATAAACAGTATTAAAAGAACATATGTGAATATCTAACTATAGTTTTAGTAATAATTTAAAACTCAGGCCATTAAGGATCAAATCTTACAGGCCACATGGTTAGAGGGATGGTGATGGATGTGGATTTAGGGAACGAGAGTTCAAGTTTTGCATTGACCTACAACCTCTAAGGTTATAGCTGAAGGTAAGAAAAATAAAACATACTGCTTACCACTGTGGTTCACATACCTATAACAATTTCTGATAAAAAGTAAATGGTCAATAAATAGTTATGGTAAAAACAGAATAAATACAATATATATGCGAATGCTCTTTATGGATATAGAACATTTTGGATATTATCTTATTTATGATTAGCCAAATGCTACAATCCCACTATATAAGTACAGTGTTCTTTATTCTGGAAAAATTCTTCTCACTTTTAATTTCATTCCTCTTCCTCTTTGAGTTCAGTAGTAACAGATGAAACTGGATAAGTTACATTTATGAAATAGTAAATTCCACTTGTTTAAAGTATATGGAAGCAACTGGAATTCAGTATTTCTACACACTTGTTAACATTAGGTAATATTATAAATACATTAGCCCCACTAATTTTGCATTTGAATTCAACATGATGAAAGTAACTTTTGTATATTAGTTACTGACTGTTCCATAACAAATTATCCCCTAATTTAGCAGCTTAAAACAATACACATTCATTATCTCAGTTTCTGTGGATCAATAACCTAGGCATGACTTATCTTATATGATTTTCCATAAAACAGAAATTAAAATGTGAGGTCACAAAAAAAAAAGAAAAGAAACAAACAAACCAACCAAAGAAACACCTGTGCCCATTAATTCCCTTCTCCCCTCACTCCATCTTGAATTTTTGATGTCACAGTTTACATATTTTACATTGCCTATCTCTTAACAAATTGTTGTATTTATTGTATGTTTCAAAATAGCTATAAGAGAATATTTGTGTTCTTTCCAACAGAAAAATTAATATTTGGGGTGATGAATGTCTCAATTATCCTGATTTGATAATACACATTGTATTCAGGTATCAAAATATCACAAGTAAACCCAACTGTAATGTACAACCATTATATATCAATTTTAAAAAAGATATGGGCTTGGTGTCTGCAGTCATATCTGAAGGCTCCAATGTCATTTGCCTTTGTGGTTTCAGGCAGTATTCAGTTCCTCTAAGGGTGCTGGACTGAGGGTCTCAATCTGGCTATATGCTGGAGGCTGCCCTCAGTTTTCTGCCATGTGTGCCTCTTCAACAGGACAGGTTACTTCATCACAATATGCAAGCCATGAAAACAATAGAGATGGCTAGCCTGGTGAAAGTCACAATCTTTAGAAACATAATCACGTAAGTGACATCCCATCATCATTGCCATATTCTGTTGGTTAGAAGCAAGTAACTCAAGGGAAGAGAATTGCACAGGGCTGTGAATACTACAAGGAATGGATTACTGGGGCCATTTTAGAGGCTGTCTAGCATAGTATAATTTGTTGAGATTGTCTTTAAATTGAGAGGCATTGTTTTGTGCTTAGTACAAAAATTCTAAACACTTTTAAGAGATAACTTATCATTTTGTGATTTTAACTTTCATCTGCCTTCTCAAATTGCTTTAAGTTGTTCCACAGTATAAAGATTGAGAGTAAATACATATAGGAGGAGGAAATATGTGAAATCAGCAGCAGGAAACTCTGCCATTCCTTCTGCTTAAATCCAAGAAAATTGAAAGGCAGGAAAGTCCCTTCCTTGTTTATTTTTTTGGTCAAACCATAATCTCTAGAAATTTATTAGACATTAAATATATTTATGTGAAAGTATGTAAGAATATTTTTAAATAGTTTGTACATGTGTTCCTTTATACTACTGTTTCTTCAAAGCTTTGAAAATTTGCCTTTTTAGTAGTTTGGGGATTGAGGAGTTCCTTTTATCTTTTATCTTTTGTAAATAGTTTGCAATATTACCAGTCAATTTTCAACCACTATTACTCACTATTTTAAAGTTCTATTTTTAATGACATGCTAGGCTTGCCATGTAGGACAAATAAAGTTGAAGTTAAAATAATGAGTAGAAAGATTTCATAATCTGTCTTCCTAATAATGCCTGCAAATATTTGAGAATGTTACAGTTCCATATACACATAAGAAACTGTATTTCTATCCCTGTAATAAAAATAGTTGTAATAAAATTCTTAATTGTTTTCTAAAGGAATTTTCCCAAGGTATTCTAATTTTCTTGTAATCATACCCCACTTCAAAAATTAATATTTTTAAAATCATTTTCTGAAAAACCGTCCCTTCACTCCCCTCTTTCTGACTACCTTCCTTCCTTCCTTCTCCCTTTTTCCTTCTTTCTTTGACAAAATAATAACAACGGCATATGGCTTTGTTCCATACTCTTCATCTTCTTTTTTTCAATTTAAATTTTTAGTTTAGATACAGGGGACACATGTGCAGGTTTGTTATATAAGTATATTGCACCCCGGTAGTGACTATAGTACCCATTAGGTAGCTTTTCACCCCACTCACACCTCCCCTTCCCCCCTGTAGGAGTCTACAGTGTCTATTTTCCCATGTTTAGGAAGAAACTGCATCAACTAACGAGCAAAATAACCAGCTAACATCATAATGACAGGATCAAATTCACACATAACAATACTAACTTTAAATGTAAATGGGCTAAATGCTCCAATTAAAAGACACAGACTGGCAAATTGGATAAAGAGTCAAGACCCATCAGTGTGCTGTATTCAGGAAACCCATCTCACGTGCAGAGACACACATAGGCTCAAAATAAAGGGATGGAGGAAGATCTACCAAGCAAATGGAAAACAAAAAAAGGCAGGGGTTGCAATCCTAGTCTCTGATAAAACAGACTTTAAACCAACAAAGATCAAAAGAGACAAAGAAGGCCATTACATAATGGTAAAGGGATCAATTCAACAAGAAGAGCTAACTATCCTAATATATATGCACCCAATACAGGAGCACCCAGATTCATAAAGCAAGTCCTGAGTGACCTACAAAGAGACTTAGACTCCCACACAATAATAATGGGAGAATTTAACACCCCACTGTCAATATTAGACAGATCAACGAGACAGAAAGTTAACAAGGATATCCAGGAATTGAACTCAGCTCTGCACCAAGCAGACCTAATAGACATCTACAGAACCCTCCACCCCAAATCAACAGAATATACATTTTTTTCAGCACCACACCACACCTATTCCAAAATTGACCACATAGTTGGAATTAAAACTCTCCTCAGCAAATGTAAAAGAACAGAAATTATAACAAACTGTCTCTCAGACCACAGTGCAATCAAACTAGAACTCAGGATTAAGAAACTCACTCAAAACCGCTCAACTACATGGAAACTGAACAATCCGCTCCTGAATGACTACTGGGTACATAACGAAATGAAGGCAGAAATAAAGATGTTCCTTGAAACCAACGAGAACAAAGATACAACACACCAGAATCTCTGGGACACATTCAAAGCAGTGTGTAGAGGGAAATTTATAGCACTAAATGCCCACAAGAGAAAGCAGGAAAGATCCAAAATTGACACCCTAACATCACAATTAAAAGAACTAGAAAAGCAAGAGCAAACACATTCAAAAGCTAGCAGAAGGCAAGAAATAACTAAAATCAGAGCAGAACTGAAGGAAATAGAGACACAAAAAACCCTTCAAAAATTTAATGAATCCAGGAGCTGGTTTTTTGAAATGACCAACAAAATTGATAGTCCACTAGCAAGACTATTAAAGAAGAAAAGAGAGAAGAATCAAATAGACGCAGTAAAAAATGATAAAGGGGACATCACCACCGATCCCACAGAAATACAAACTACCATCAGAGAATACTACAAACACCTCTACACAAATAAACTAGAAAATCTACAAGAAATGGATAAATTCCTTGACACATACACTCTCCCAAGACTAAACCAGGAAGAAGTTGAATCTCTGAATAGACCAATAACAGGATCTGAAATTGTGGCAATAATCAATAGCTTACCAACCAAAAAGAGTCCAGGACCAGATGGATTCACAGCCAAATTCTACCAGAGGTACAAGGAGGAGCTGGTACCATTCCTTCTGAAACTATTCCAATGAATAGAAAAAGAGGGAATCCTCCCTAACTCATTTTATGAGGCCAGCATCATCCTAATACCAAAGCCTGGCAGAGACACAACCAAAAAAGAGAATTTTAGATCAATATCCTTGATGAACATTGATGCAAACATCCTCAATAAAATACTGGCAAACCGAATCCAGCAGCACATCAAAAAGCTTATCCACCATGATCAAGTGGGCTTCATCCCTGGGATGCAAGGCTGGTTCAATACACGCAAATCAATAAATGTAATCCAGCATATAAACAGAACCAAAGACAAAAACCACATGATTATCTCAATAGATGCAGAAAAGGCCTTTGACAAAATTCAACAACCCTTCATGCTAAAAACTCTCAATAAATTAGGTATTGATGGGATGTATCTCAAAATAATACGAGCTATCTATGACAAACCCACAGCCAATATCATACTGAATGGGCAAAAACTGGAAGCATTCCCTTTGAAAACTGGCACAAGACAGGGATGCCCTCTCTCACCACCCCTATTCAACATAGTGTTGGAAGTTCTGGCCAGGGCAATTAGGCAGGAGAAGGAAATAAAGGGTGTTCAATTAGGAAAAGAGCAAGTCAAATTGTCCCTGTTTGCAGATGACATGATTGTATATCTAGAAAACCCCATTGTCTCAGCCCAAAATCTCCTTAAGCTGATAAGCAACTTCAGCAAAGTCTCAGGATACAAAATCAATGTACAAAAATCACAAGCATTCTTATACACCAACAACAGACAAACAGAGAGACAAATCATGAGTGAACTCCCATTCACAATTGCTTCAAAGAAAATAAAATACCTAGGAATCCAACTTACAAGGGACGTGAAGGACCTCTTCAAGGAGAACTACAAACCACTGCTCAATGAAATAAAAGAGGATAGAAACAAATGGAAGAACATTCCATGCTCATGAGTAGGAAGAATCAATATCGTGAAAATGGCCATACTGCCCAAGGTAATTTATAGATTCAATGCCATCCCCAACAAGCTACCAATGACTTTCTTCACAGAATTGGAAAAAACTACTTTAAAGTTCATATGGAACCAAAAAAGAGCCCGCATCGCCAAGTCAATCCTAAGCCAAAAGAACAAAGCCAGAGGCATCAGGCTACCTGACTTCAAACTATACTACAAGGCTACAGTAACCAAAACAGCATGGTACTGGTACCAAAATAGAGATATAGATCAATGGAGCAGAACAGAGCCCTCAGAAATAATGCTGCATATCTACAACTATCTGATCTTTGACAAACCTGACAAAAACAAGCAATGGGGAAAGGATTCCCTATTTAATAAATGGTGCCGGGAAAACTGGCTAGCCATATGTAGAAAGCTGAAACTGGATCCCTTCCTTACACCTTATACAAAAATCAATTCAAGATGGATTAAAGACGTACATGTTAGACCTAAAACCATAAAAACCCTAGAAGAAAACCTAGGCATTACCATTCAGGACATAGGCATGGGCAAGGACTTCATGTCTAAAACACCAAAAGCAATGACAACAAAAGCCAAAATTGAAAAATGGGATCTAATTAAACTAAAGAGCTTCTGCACAGCAAAAGAAACTACCATCACAATGAACAGGCACCCTACAAAATGGGAGAAAATTTTCGCAACCTACTCATCTGACAAAGGGCTAATATCCAGAATCTACAATGAACTCAAACAAATTTACAAGAAAAAAACAACCCCATCAAAAAGTGGGCGAAGGATATGAACAGACACTTCTCAAAAGAAGACATTTATGGAGCCAAAAAACACATGAAAAAATGCTCATCATCACTGGCCATCAGAGAAATGCAAATCAAAACCACAATGAGATACCATCTCACACCAGTTAGAATGGTATCATTAAAAAGTCAGGAAACAACAGGTGCTGGAGAGGATGTGGAGAACTAGGAACACTTTTACACTGTTGATGGGACTGTAAACTAGTTCAACCATTGTGGAAGTCAGTGTGGCGATTCCTCAGGGATCTAGTACTAGAAATACCATTTGACCCAGCCATCCCATTACTGGGTATATACCCAAAGGACTATAAATCATGCTGCTATAAAGACACATGCACATGTATGTTTACTGCAGCACTATTCACAATAGCAAAGACTTGGAACCAACCCAAATGTCCAACAACAATAGACTGCATTAAGAAAATGTGGCACATATACACCATGGAATACTATGCAGCCATAAAAAATGATGAGTTCATGTCCTTTGTAGGGACATGGATGCAACTGGAAATTGTCATTCTCAGCAAACTATCACAAGGACCAAAAACCAAACACCGCATGTTCTCACTCATAGGTGGGAATTGAACAACGAGAACACATGGACACAGGAAGGGGAATATCACACTCCGGGGACTGTTGTGGGGTAGGGGGAGGGGGGAGGGATAGTATTAGGAGATATACCTAATGCTAAATGATGAGTTAATGGGTGCAGTACACCAACATGGCACATGTACACATATGTAACAAACCTGCACATTGTGCACATGTACCCTAAAACTTAAAGTATAATAATAATAATAAAATAAAATAAAATAAAAAAAAGAAATAGAGAAATTAAGTCAACCTCGGTTAAGCAATAAAAGGGGAATTACTGGTGTTTTTAGTTGGGAATCCCAAGCTTAAATCATGTCTTTAGGTTCTCAGTCATCTGTCTCTCTCCTAAACCTCATCCGATAAGTTGGACTCATTCCCCTTGTGACTTACTTCATACCATGGAAGCCTATGACCTCTGACAGATCCAGGCTTACATCAGCACAGGTAGTCAAGATGTTTTCTCTTTCTCAATGTTTTTGTATAAAAGCTCAAGGTTTTATCAGATTCCTGTGTCAATCATTGTGGTCCGAAGGATAAGAAACTTTTTTATTGGCCAAGCTTTAGTTAAAATTGGGGATACTTCTAAAATTGGGGATAGAGTTTAGTGATTGGGGCCTCACTAGAGTACTATTTTCAGAAAAAAATTAAGAAGGAATCTAGCAAAACAAAAACAGTAGACGGCGTGGTTCAACTATAGAAGTAAATGCATTATATACATTTTTAATCTTCAGTATTTTACCTTTTTTTTTTTTTTTTTTTTTTTTTTTTTGACAGAGTCTCACTCTGTTGCTTAGGCTGGAATACAGTGGCATGATCTCGACTCACTGCAACCTCTGTCTCCCAGGCTCAAGTGATTCTTGTTCCTCAGCTTCCAGGGTAGCTGGGATTACAGGTGTGCACCATCACACCTGGCTAATTGTTATATTTCTAGTAGAGAGAGGGTTTCACAATGTTGGCCAGGCTGTTCTTGAACTCCTGGCCTCAAGTGATCTGCCTGCCTCAGCCTCCCAATGTGGTGGGATTACAGGCATGAGCCATGATGCTCGGCCAGTACTTTACTTTATTTGGCACAAAGTTGTTATTTTGAATGAAGTGATTTTGCATACAAAAGTAGAAAGCTAGAATACAGAAAATAATTTTGCTTCATATTGAGCATTTCTTTCTTTCTTGCTGTTCCGGTGAGATTTGTAAAATATGTATAAATCATAATGGCTCTAGAATAATGTAGCAAATATTTCACTTTTGTGAAATAAAATATATAAATTAATGTTAACTAGAATGAAGTGCCAAATAACAGTATCATCACATGAACTGATTTAAAATAATACCACCAAGAGAAGACACACGCATACAGAAAACAAAATTTAGAGCAGTATGTACAATATACACTTTGGTAAAATACCATATTATGCCTTTGTGCATGGAGATGTTTGCAAATGATGTGTATAACTTCACCATAAGTTTCTGTGCAATTGAAACCAAATGCATTTGCTTCCTAGAAGATAACTTTAAAAAGTCATCTTGTAAAGGGATGTTATGAGAACATGATTGAAAGTAAATCTTGGGTTTTAGAAGATTTCATATTTGCTAGTTTAAATTTAATTTCTGTAGTAGTTAGCCATGTCTCATCATATTATTTAAAATAAGTAAAACATTTACATTAAAAAGAAAAAACTCTAGTTTTAGTTTTACCTTTCATTTAGAATTGTAAAATCCCATTCACTATTATATAAGTTTTACATAATGCATTCTAAATTTACGTAATGGAAACTAGGATGTATACATGCACAAATATTAACTAATTTTTAAAATAGCTACAAATTAATGACTTTTTCTGTTTTTTTAAATTTCTCACTTTTTAACAGACTTTCAGTTTGTTCACTACAAAAGTGTTCTCATTATTTCACCTGATGTGTAATAACACTAAATGAGAAAGTAGATTATGATGATAGTAAGGAGATGACCCAAATAAATCTAATTATCAGATTCTGTTACTTTTAAAGCTTATCTTTCTATGCCTTCTCTACTGCAATTTCTCCAGAGATTTCTCTCTGGATTCTAAAGGATTTGAAGAAGCTAAATTCCCACCCCCTCCTTACCTCCCCAACCTCTTTTGACTCTCATCAAGATTCTTGGTTTGTAAAGAAGTCAAGGAAATAAAAACTCCTATCACTTCTTACAAATGTGCTTTATTTAGGCTCTTAATGAAATTCAGGATGAATTTAAATCCACAGAAGCAAGATATTTAATTTAAAAGAAAAGGTATATTAGCATACATTTAGACAAAAGTGTAGAGAAATGGGAATTCTCTTCAATATTCAAGTTCTACGATGTGGAAAAAGGGATGAAAAAATTTTGAATTGCTTCACAAAGAATAAATAAAACCAACAGATCAGATAGGCGTAGCCAACATAATGAAGGTGTTCTTTAACAATAAGAGTTGTTTCTGACCCAAGTGGTTGCTAATTTGTTGGATATTTTCTAAAGGAATGCACAGGGAATAAACTGTGTTGAATGATATCTAAATTCACATTAGATCTGAGATCATGGTGACTAAACCTTTAGTGCACCAAAAGAGAGTCTTAAATTCTTTCGTAAAGCTATAATGTGTAACACAGCTCACAGTATTTTATTAAAAGTTACTGTTTGATGATTTGGAATGTAAAGCCAAAACTCTCACAAAAGAAAAAACATTATACATAATCTCTTATAAAATTGTTTTTTTTTTATCATTATGGAAAATAGCATGGAGTTTCCTCAAAAAAATTAAAAATAGAACTACCATATGATCCAGCAATTCCACTACAAGGTATTTACTTAAAGGAAATGAAATCAGCATGTCAAGCGGTATCGACACTTTCGTGTTCATTGCAGCATAGCCGAGAAGTGAAATCTACCTAAATGCCTATCAACAGATGAATGAACAAAGAAAACGTGGTATATATACACAATGGAATGATATATATGCCATTGTGGTATATATACCACATTTTATTGCTATTCAGCAATAAAAAATGAAATCCCATCACTTGGGACAACGTGGATGAACCTGGAGAACATTATGTGAAGTGAAATAAGCCAGACACAGAAAGACAAATACTGCATGATCACACACATATTTGGAATCAAGAAAAGTTGATCTCATAGAAGTAAAGAATAGAAAAGCCCTTACCAGAATCTGGGGTGGATGGGTGGCAGTGGATAAGAAGAGGTTGGTCAATGGGTACAATGTTACAACTGATACAGTATACATTCTGGTGTTCTATTATACAGCAGGGTGAATATAGTTAACAATATTTATTATATAATTTAAAATAGCTAGAAGAGAGAATTCTGAATGTTCTTATCACAAAGAAATGATAAATATTTGAGGTGAACAATTTGTTAAATGTCCTGATTTGGTCGTTATACAATGTATCACATTGTACCCCATACAATTATTATGTGCCAATTAAAAATAAAATGAATACAAAATACCACAAATTTCACAGCTGTGTATCAAATATAATTTAAAATATAAAATATAATTGTGATTTTAAAAATCAGTTCTGATACAGTTAATGTCAGTGTCATTTTATGTTGTTGTCTGTTTCATTCTATTTTCTTCTGAAACAATCAGGAAAAAGACATTACTGAACATGCAGTCAGAAGCCCTCATAGAACCCTCATATAATTTCTATGTTGGCAATAAATTATAAACATTATTCTAGAATACACATAAGAGCAAAGTTAAGAAATGAATAACATGTATACTATTCAACAATTCAAAAAGTTAGGAGAACAGGTGAAAATATGAAAAACCTTAATCTATAACTTCTTAGAGAGACCCAATATCACAGAAATAACAGCACTAAAATCTACCTTTTTCATTTAACTTTATTTATTAAATTTGTTTTGTGAAACGTTTAACATTCATCGTATTTATTTGTCTTGAGTGTCAAAAAAAGTACCATAAAGTATTTCTATAAAGTCATAATTTAAAAATCACAGAAGCAGGGTTTTAAGAGCACGTACTATTTAATGAATGATAAATGAGTTATTATTACTTTTTTAAATAGACAGGTCTCACTATGTCATTCAGTCTAGAGTGCAGTAGAAAGATCACAGCTCACTGCAACTTCGACATCCTCCTACCTCAGCCTCCCCAGTAGCTAGGACTACAGGCACATACCAGCACTCCTGGCTAATTATTTGTATATTTTGTAGTGAATGGGTCTCTAACTCCTGGGCTCAAGCAATCCTCCATCTTTGGCCTCCCAAATTGGTAATTATAGGCATGAGCCACTGCACACAGCAGTTTGATTTTTATGACTTCCTTGTTGTTAACAAAAAGCAAGAAATCTTGCCAACAGAACCATCTTTAAATGCATGAAAATAACCACATGCAAAGAAATCATGTTTATTTTATTTTGATGCTCTCTTGGTTAGATGAGTTACACTACCCTGAATAGTCTCTCGCTGTTCAGACAGGCAAGGCAATTTACCTCTGACCATGGCTTTATTTCTTCATTTGCAAATCAATGGCAGTTGATTTTTAAAAATTAATTGAAAAATGTTATCCTTAACACTTGTCTATAAGGTAAACTCTGAGAATTTCATGAACAATTTCAACATGTGTAAAGAAGGGAAATAAAAATTTAATTAGAATGCAAGTCTAAATTGTGATATCTCTTCATCCTGTAATTATTTAAAGTCTTTGATGGTGAGAATAACAAAGATCCACAGAATTGGTTTTATTGCATAAGTAAATATTGGAAAAGCCCGGAAGTATGGTAGAAATAATTCTGAGTAGAGGATAAAGATATTTGGGTTTCAGTCTTGTCTGTATAACAAGTAACTGTGATTTTGGAAAGTCATTTCATTTAGTTGTTAAATTTTATAAGCTGTAAAATGAGAGATTTACTAGATAAGTCATTTTCAAACTTGTTTTTTCTATGAAATCCTATGGCAGCCACGAAGGTGTACCACCTAGGTCTTTCTTCAAGAAAGATCTTTCTTTTTTTTTTGAGCTTTTATTTTAGGTTCAGAGGTACATGTGCAGGTTTGTTATACAGGTAAATTCGTGTTACAGGGTTTTTTTGTACAGATTATTTCCTCACCCAGATACTAATCTTAGTACTTAATAGTAATTTTTTCCGATCCTCTCCCTCCACCCACCTTCCATTCTCAAGTAGGACCCAGTGTCTGTTATTCCCCTTTATGTCCATGAGTTATCATCACTTAGCTCTCATCAATTGCCAAGTTTGTAATGAGACATCCATTGCCCAAGTTTGTAATTAGACTTCACTATCCATGTGATGCTCCCTGCAAAGGACTGAGTGTTTGCTAAGTGGATGCTAAGTGGATGCTAAGGCAGCCCTTTTCCTGGTAGACATGGGTATCTTTGGAAGGCCAACCTTAACTTGAGAATTCTTTGAAAGGTCTTGCTGATCCTCTATAAGATTAGACAGCTGTCTGAGAGACTCCCATCCATCCCTCCTTTCCTTTTCTTTAGAATCAGACTGGTGCCATGGTTTTATAGCCATACAAGCCTTTTCTGGCCTCCTATTTCCTTTCATACAAGTTTCTTACATGAAATCTGGATATTTTTAATCCCACTTTGGCATCTACTTCTCTAAGGACTAAGATTATTCTATTCCATGTATGCTTGCTCATTCTCACCTCTGTCCTTCACAGATATTTCCCACAACCAATATCTTACACTCCAAATTCCATATCGGCATCTACTTTCTAGAGGTCCAAAATGGACACATATTTTTCTTTGAGTGAAACTCAACAGGAAAGCTCAAAATTGTAAGTTCATAAAATGGATCTCTTCTCATTGAAGCAAGATTCATAGTCCAAGCGTTCCTTTCTCACTTCCACTCCCATCCCACTGCTACCCCCAGTGGCAACATCTTTGAGAAATGTTTCTGGATGTGGGGAACACAGTTAGAATAATACCAGAAGATATTCCTAACACATTAAATGCTATAATTTTATAGCATCTAAATGTATCCAGTGAAGTCCATATAAGGTCTTTGTAGTATCCCCTCCGCCGGCAATCTGAAATTTTCCCTGGAATTATCCTGCTCCTTGCACACATACACACAAAAAAATCCCTTCAGAGTCATCAAAAGTTATTTCTATTTGACGGAAATTGATTTTGCTTCTTTAAAGCTTCGAATTTCAACCGAGTTTATAGAAATAGACTCCCTTCTTCCTATGCCTCTCAACAAAGTCTTTTAAAGAAAGTCAGAAAAAGAGTAATATTAGTTCTGGGATGGTCTAAGACTCACTGAAATAATTTCATAGTTTTGGAAAATGGACATCTAACTGCCTGCGTACATACAGGAAAGGACCCAACATATGAAATCCATTAATGTTAAGGTCTTTCTTTGAGAAAGCAGAAAACTGCTGTCTCAAGGATACACGCAATATATTTTCCGTGGGTATAAATCCTGAAATAAATTTTTATCATAAAGTATCAATTTTTAATTTAAATTAAATTAAGTATGGTAATCACCTAGACTTTTTATTTTGGAACATGAAATTTAATTGTAATAAGATAATTAGAATATAATTTTTAAATATTAATTTAATGGCACAAGCTCTTTATTTTTTATATTATCTTTCAAGGAAATACTTTGTATCTTTCTTTAAGTTTTTACTGTAAAATTTGTTATAAAATTTCCAACCATGTCATAAGGTTATAACTGAGAAGTAAACAAAGGATAAGTTTCAGAAAGAGTTGGACATTTTATCAGTGGAATAAAAAGATATATGCAATAATGACTTACTTCTTTCACATAGGTGAGGGAATCAGATATTCAGTTACATCAAATTTTTCATATCACTGATATTTACTATTTCAAGTGGCAAAAGTCTACTATACATTTCCCTTTTTATTTAAGTTTATTTAATCTCTCATTTCTTTGTTAGAGATTTACTCTTTCCTGGCCCTACTTGTTTATTTTCTTGAACTGTCTGTTCTTTGGGATATTAGGCAGATTTATTAAGGATTATATTAGGGACAGTAAAAGAAGGACAAGAAAAAATTCCTTTCATGTAAAAATTACTCATTTTGAGTCCCTTTTTGTAACGTGAAGGGAAGTGTGCAGAGACCACTTCACTTGATGATTTCATTTTTAACTCTTCATATGAAAAGCTTTATGAAAAGCTTTATGTTATGCTCATATGAAAAGCTTTATGTTCGGTATCTATAGAGATTCTCACTGGTTAGCCTGAGCCTTACCTTAGGCTAATTTCAATTATAAGGATAATGAAGTAATTGTCATTTGTGCATCTATTGCTGTGCTGTGTACGTGTGTGCTTGTGTTCCAATGTGTGTATGGTTAGAGCAAAGGAAAGTCTGGAGCAGGGAGGAGGAAAGAGAGACAAAAGAAATACAGCATTTCTAAATGATGACAACAAAAATGTGTATAGAAATGATACAGCAAATAGATTCAGGTAGATATATAATAAAGCAGGTCCCTCAAACAACTGCCCTATTCATATGATCATTAAGGATTTTAATAAAATAGATAATCAGCTTGATACAAACAGACTTTCAGATTCTTTGAATAACAAGGATCAAATTTGAAATCATATTGTGTCACTGATCCATGGAGCTTTTGATTAGTTTCCTTTTCAGTTTGATCTGGAATGCAAATTGCTCAGACCCATTCACTATTGTAAGCATTAAAAAGGGCTGTTTGTTCACTTTATTTTGATATGTCATCACTTTTCTGGGCATTAGGAAGATAAACATTGTCTATACTTGTGAGCTATAGTCAGCTCAGCAGGCATTTAAAACATTAAAGGTATGTGTTCCTTTTCAAAGGAAAAGAAGCTGTGCCAGCAGTAACTCTTTATGTCTGGAGTAAATAGGAATTATAACGTCTTTTGTGGTAGTCAATTGGTCACCTAGAGTTTTACATATGACCCTGGTTGGGTTACAAAGCTTTAATCATATTATGTATTCTGTTTTTATATTTCAGGTTTAAATAATTAATATGCTATTAATTTATTAAATTGTTTTTCATTTGGGTAATCTAGGAAAATGTTTATATTTTATCACCAATATAGGTGCTATTGTCCCTCCTCTATAAAGACTTTCCTGACTCTAAGCTATCTTCTTAGATCAAAGTTTAACTTGCTTCTTCTACCATTAGTTTGTCTTATTCTTACCTTGCACTGTAATTCCTTTGCCTATACATATATTATATCCACAAATAGATTTTAAGGTATCTGAAAGTCATCTATCCAAAATCTCCTTATATTCCTCAATTTTTCAAGTATTTCATTCATTGACAATTGATAAAATTTTGCAACACAAATTTTCTCAACATACAACAAGATTTTTTTCTATGTAACTATCTTGCTCTGTATTTTTACTGGGGCTATATTCTGATAATACAAAGATACTAAATACAATAAAAAATTATCTTCATCTTTAATGACCCTACACCCTAATTTACAAGTCAAATACCACAAGGCCTAGAGATGAAGGCCAATTACTTATATATTTATAAGTAGTTTTTCTAAATATATGCATTATATGTGGATTAAAAACGATTTATCATCTAAAAGAAAACCCACCTGAAAACATAAAATAGAATCAAGGCATTCAGTCTCCCAGCTGCACAGTATTCATTATTCTTACCATTAGGTTCTTCAACTATAAAATTAAGGATTTGGAATGTCAAGAAACATGGATGCTGAAAGTTCCTGAGTATTACCTCCTGAAAAAAAATCATCTGTAGTAATCTATTGCCATATTGCTAGTTCATTCAACCCATATTTATTGAGTGCATACCATAATTTAGTCATCCTTAAAAGTGTATGGAATATTACAATGAAAAAAGAATCCTTAAATTGGAGTTTGACATGGTTTGACTGGTTTGGTCAAACCAGTCATGGTTTGACTGGTTTGACTGTGTCCCCACCCAAATCTCATCTTGTAGTTCCCATAATCCCCACGTGTCGTGGGAGGGATCTGGTGGGAGGTAATTGAATCATGGAGGCAGTTATTCTCATGCTGTTGTGATAGTGAGTGAGTTCTCACGAGATTTGATGGTGTTATAAACATCTGCCATTTCCCCTGCTTGCACTCACCCCATCCTGCCGCCCTATGAAGAAGCTGCCTGCTTCTCCTTTCCCTTCTGCCATGATTGTGAGTTTCCTGAGGCCTCCCAAGACCCGCAGATTTGTGAGTCAATTAAACCTGTTTCCTTTATAAATTACCCAGTCTTGGGCAGTTTTTTATAGCAGCGTGAGAACGGACTAATGCAATTACATTCCTGTCAGTGTGGAGAGTGTGTGTGTGTGTGTGTGTGTGCGTGCGTGTGTGTGTGTGGTGCTAGGGCAAGAATCAGAAACTGAATATGTAAGATATCAAGTTGTAAGAAGTCAAAGAAAAAATTAATTAAGGTAAGTAAAGAATGATGGAGAGATGGTAGAGAATCATGGAGATGGGATGCTAATATAAACAGAATTGTTAGGAAAGGATTTAATGATGAAATTTCATTTAAGGAGAAACTTGAATGAGAGCATTTGACTATTCAAGGGACCAAAGTCCCAGGAACAGTCAATAGCAAGGACCCAAGTATAGACCCTGCTTAATAAGATTAAGAAATAGCAGGTGACTTGGTATTGCCGACGCATCTGAGCAAGGGGAAATACGTCAGAAAATACCATTGGAAAGACATCCAGGTGTCTGATCATAGGACCTTGCAGAACGCATAAAGAATTTTAGATTATATTCTGAGTATGATCAGTCTTTGAGAAGTTGGAACAGTTGAGTTTAAATAACTGCTGGGTTGACTCTCACAGTCTAAATCATGTTTTATCACTGAAGTATTTAAGACAGTTTATTTTAACCATTATGCTTATTGCATAAGTTAGATATTTGTGAAGATAATATGCTAGATTATGAAATAAAAAATTATGCAATAAATGTAATGATTAAAATAGACTGTCATAAATACTGCAATGATAAAATATGGTTTAGACTGCGAGCAACTCAGCAGTTATTTAAAACATTAAATATATGTGCTCCTTTTCAAAACATGATATATGTAATTAAATCATAAAAGGGACTTTGAATCTTAGGCACTAATCTGACAATACAAAGATAGTTTGTTAGTTTTGTTGTTGTTACCTTCTTTTAAATGATGGAATTGAGTACTGTGGAACCTCAAAAGGGTTTATGACCCTGCGGCCAAGGCTGTGGCACTAGCAGTGACCTTAAGGGAGAGTGTTTCTCAACCAGGAATTTGGGAGCTCTAATTGAACCAAGTGTATGGCATATTCCAGCTATATTTTCACTGGAAATCTTCTTTGGTCTCTTTTTTGCAACCAAAGTACTCCAAAAACCAGGTACTCTCCACATTTAGGAGCCATTACAGCCAGATGCAACTTCTCATACCAAATAAATGTAAACTAGAAACTAGAGGAATTTAATTGGCTCTGATTGGACCAGATGTCTAATCCTCAAGCAATAAGCCATGAAATGGAGACCAAATTCTCTGAATTCAGAGCTTTACTCAGTGGTTTTTGGGAAAAAAATTAGCAAAGCAGGCACCCCAAAAATCTCTGGTAGAGTTATAATTTGAAAGCATCTCAGATTATGCAAATATTTTTAGGGGGTATTTTATTTTAGTATGTATATCCAAGCTCCTCTGTAGGCTGTGGTAGTTGGTATAACTAATAAAATATATTTGATGTTACTGCAGAGGGGAATCCACCTAAAGCTATATAAACCCTACAGAAATTTAGAACAAAAAAATTCCACAGTAGTTTCTGACCATAAATTATTATGCTGAATTAAATCCACAATTTTCTGTGCTGCCATAACTTTCCTCTAAAAATAGCATAACCTCTCAAAAGTTAGGCTTTAAGTAACATGAAATTATTGTTACTGTAATTGTCTATTTCTCATTTATCTGTTTGACATTAATGCCACTATTTCGTATCTAACATCTTTGCTCTACTGTTTATGTTTTGGAAGTTTCTTTCTTGCTTGTGATTAACAAATGTATAAAAATAGATGGTGTACACAGTGGTACTTACACCATCCCTTAATCAGCCATGCTATGTCTCTATTTGTCTCTTCTTCTAGGGTGAAGTAATTTCTTGAAAAATATTTTCCATGTTTCTCTGTTCCTCATCTTCTGCCAATGTGCTGGCAACATGATTCCTTAAGTCTCTCACAACACTTGCAATGATGGCTATGAACCCAGCCAAGCAGAGGAAGGCAGCTTCTTCAGAAGCTTAAAATAAATTTTGTCTCATAAAATAATAAAGGAATGGGACACACAATTCACTTATAGCCTTTGCCTTTAGAGAAAGGCATATTCTTTGGTGTGAGGTGAAGAATCAAATCGACATTATATTATCTCTGTGTAAATCAATCATATGACAGCAGTGATTAAGAAACTTGAATATAAGAACACTTTATATAAATAAAATAAAGAATTACTGACTCCAAATTCAGCTGAGCTGCATTTCTAAACCCTTTCATGGTGCAAACAAAATCTTTAAGCATTTGATTCTTAGCCTCTCTCCTCATTCTTCTAGGAGGATTCCAGCTGTGATTTGTCAGATTTTATGACATTAATATCAGATCTGGACTGACTGTACTAATTATTCTCCTGAAAGATGCCAAGCTTTGATCATGCAATAACAATATTTTGCTCCCATTGAAATGATTTTAAAAACTGATTCCATCATACTGTTTCTTTTGCTTATTGTTTGTGTGTAGTAGAAAATGGGGTTTGTTTTGGTACAATTTTGGGATGCATGACAAATGCTCCTTTGAACAGTGTATAAACATGCATAGACCATAGAGGGATTAACTGTTGAAGACTCAAAGTCTGTTACTCTTGGCTTCTTGGTCTTTTCAAATTTGTGTGGTACAAGGAGCCTCCAGCTACCTTTATTTTGTTGCTACTACTACTGCCGAATACAGCAAAACTAAGACACATTGCTTTGAGTTATGTCCTAGTAGTTTGTGTTAGTGTTATAACTTAGTTTCTCTATTCAGTTCATTCTCATAGCTCTGTGGATATCTTGATGTTTTCCATATTAATCATGGTCATAAATATCCTATAGAAAATAATTATGTACAATAGTTATTGCTCTGTAATTATGAAACAGTTTCATTCCATGGCTAAGTTTTTTTTTTTTTTGTAAACAGTCCTTGAAATTTAATTATATGTTAATCACTCTGATAAAACAGTTAACAGACGAAATACTTTTGAGGTTAAGTGCAACCAACTCATATTAAACAGTGATGTCTTACTCTCACGCTTTCCCTGAACTTCCACATCAGTTAACAAACCTGGTTGTTTATCAAACTTAATGCAATCGTGCTTCTCAATTTTAATGTTTGTACAAAATACTTGGGGATCTTACTAAAATGCAAATTCTGTTTTAGAAGGGCTAGGGTGTGACCTGAAATTCTAATTTTCAAACAGTGATACTCATGCTGCCTTTTCAAGGTCTAGATTCTACGCTTATTAAACTGAGACCAGCAAAACAAAACAAACGAACAAAAAACCAGTATCTGTAATACGGTAATTTGTTTCTGACACTTTTCGAATATCCTACAATACTGTAATAAATACCTTTATGCATCAATCTTTGTCTAATTTTTTCTTTAAAATATATTCTAATAGATGAAATACTTGATCAAATTATTTTACAGCTATTATTATACAGTCAAACAGAATTGTAAAGAGGTTGCACCAATTTATAATTCTAGCAGGACCATATAGAAATGTCTCTTTTACTTCATCCTTGCTAACAGTGAGGCAGCAATTTAAATTGTGCCATCAGTTTTTGAACTTTACTAACTTGGTAGGAAAAATTAGGAGTATTAAACTGCATATCTTTTACTACTGATATTCAACATTTTAATACATATTAACCATGAGAATTTCTATGTTTAAAATTATTTTTCATACCCTAATGTGTGTATATATACAAATATATATATATCTTTATTTGTGTTTATCTGCATTCATTTATTTTAATAATAGTAATAATAATACAGATGGGCCAGGAATTGTGCCAAGACCTTTACAGTTTTCATTATATTTAATTCTTGCAATAAGACCATGATATCGACACCATTATTATCTCTATTCTACAGACAAGGGCACAGAGACGTGGAGAAGCTGATATACCTGCCCAAAGCCACACTCTTAGTTTAAACTAAAATGAGAGTTTAATACGGGATTGACTGACCCAGAGCAGACCCTCAAACCATGCTCTGTGAACTTTAATGCAAACGGTGTTCCTAGTTTATTGTTTCCTTTTCATTTTATTCGTTGGACCAATATTAGTTTTCTATTTGCATGTAGAAAATGCTTTGTGACTTCCTCTTTTGCTTTTAATTGTTGTTTTGTTTGCTTTTTTGTTTTTAATTGTTGTTTTGTTTGCTTACTTTGTTGTCAGTTTAAAATAACAGTTCATATAAATCCATCTTTCTCTTCCTTCTCCCTAAGGACTGTGACTGCCTAGCATGATAGCCAAGGCAAAGGCAAGTCTATACTTATTAAGCCTGCCCTGATGGTTCATAGCCCAAGACAACTCATACCCTATCCACAGATTTTTCTCTGTTCCCCTGGGGGAATCTGTTCCCTGGGTGAGCAAACTCACAGTGTTGACTCCTCATGTGCCCATATTAGGAGAGTGTACTCATCCACTGAATCACCGATCACTGCATATGATGCAGTGGCTTTGTTGTGTTCTGGGCTCCCTGTTTAGCCCCCCACGGAAAACTGCTACTCACTGATTTTCTTCCAATATTTGCCAACATAGAGTACCAGTGGTGTCAAAATTACACTACAAACCAGCCAGTTCCTTTTTATTATATCTTAACACTAGGCAGTGTTAATTAGACCTTCCTCTTTTTCCTTTGTACTTGCAGTTTTGCTTATTTTAAAATATATATGGTGCAAGACTGTTATTCCTCATGCTATTAATATATATACAAGTACTGTCTGAATACAAATAGTATTATTTGTATACTATTATATTAGTGTAATCGTTTATACACAAAGTACTATTTGAATTTGAAAAATAAACTAATATTTTCATTTCACTATTACTCCATATCATTTTATCAAGCGACAGTATGAAAAAACAAAAGGTATAATCCTATCACATCATCAATAATTTGTAGCCATAATCTTCTAGTAATTTTTGTACAAATTTTAACAGTAAAATTATGATCATCTTCTTGTGATTACTCAGAATTTGTGGTTTGGTGTCCACATTCTGTCCAAGTATCTTTAATCTTCTCTCACAAAACTTATCTCTTCCTCTTTTACCTTTATTTTCTTTCAAAGCTTCTGACATTAGTTACTGATATCAACAATTAAGTGTAGAGCAGTTGAATTTTGCTTTCAGTATTAATATTACTGACTTTGCTATCGCTTTTTTAGTTGATTTCCATTCTGTTATTATTTCATTTATTCTCTGTCCAGCTTACTAAAATTTTTAAAGAAAATTCATTGTTAATAAAAAGGGTTTCAAAATGTTTCCATTTCATCTAGCAAATAATTTTTAGATATACCTCTTATATGTGGATTTTCAGGACAATGCTTTCATCATCTCAACTTGTTAGAATTGTTTCATTGATTCTGATTAAGTTTGGGGTCCTGCAAGCAGACTCTGTGATGAAAATTTTTATGCAGACATATAGTAAAGTGTGCACTTGGGAACAACACTTCTAAGGATAGGAGGAAAGCAGGATTGGGTACTAGAGACCAAATGCAATTGTAATACAATTGCAAAAGAGAGGTCACCTGCCCCGTGGTTTGCTTTGAGAGTAATCTGACATAGAGGCAACTCTCACTCCTGCATTAATGAGTGAGGGGGATTCCTGGGAGGGGATAAAGCTCTGAGATCTCAGCAGCCAAAGGTCTCTCTGCTGGGAGAATAAGTACTTTGGTCCTGAATGAACAGTGCACCAAAAGATCTATTTTATTACCACCCACTCAGATCCATTTGCTTCTTACTGTAATCAACCCATCCAGGAACTACTTTTGCAAAATTCTGCTTTGTCTCATTTCCTCAGGAAACTTAAAAGTTGAAGGTGAGTGGAACAGATCATAATCTCTGTTGATGCAGCTTATCTAAAAACTCATCATATCCTTCCTTTTATTTCTTCATGCCCATGGACAGAACCTCTGTTTCTCTATGTGGCATACCTGGTGAGATGCCCCTGAGCTCCCAGTCACTATGCCCTCATCAAGCCATGGCTACTGCACCTTTTCACTTATTATCAAAATTGGTCAAGAGAGTACAAAAAAACAATGGTGCACTGTGTCACCTGAGTATTAGGGGTGAGCCTCCCTGTCCTGTGATATGATAGCTTCCCTACTGCCTCCTAATGATGAGGACCAATTACACCATCTGGATGTTGATTATTTCACTTACATGCATTACTTTGGGCTCAGGATTCTGAAGTGATTGGATGGCAACTATAGCTTCAAGTTCAATTAAACTCTTACTCTGCCCCCTGGTGAGAGCATATTCCCCTCTGGAAAGCATGTTCTCCAGATCAGGTTTTCTCAACTTCGGCACTACTGGCATTTTAATCCAGATAATTCTTTGCTGTGGGCCCTCTAGTACATCACAGGACATTTAGCAGCCTCCCTGGCCTCTAGCCACTAGTTTCCAGTATCACTCTTGAGTAGTGACAACCAAAAATGTCTACAGACATTGCCAAATGTACCTTGAGGGAAGGGGGTTGGGGGATGCAAAATAATCTCCAGTTGCTCTAAGCCCACAGAACCTAAAGTTGAGGGAGTAGGGAATACAGATTCCCAACTGGGTCACTGGGAGTGATGCTACTTCTGTCCTTTGGTTCCAGGGCCCGTACATTTTACTATTTGAATAAATAGTATACAAAAATGTTCATTAATATAGAATATATACCATGTTCTCATGGAGAATGGTGCCCCATCTTTGCAGGGTATCTTCTCTAAGCTGGTCTTACATCTCTACCTTCAAAAGATTACCCTTCATTCTATTTTTCCAGAACATCTGGGAAATTCAGGAATCAGAAAGGAAAAAAAATACACTTGGTGGATCTGTGGACCTAGCAAAAACGCTGTAAGCCAGACCTTGGTCAGGATTTAGTTTATTACTAAGTTCCTATACATGTCTACCTTAATAGTGGCACCATGATGACACTGAGGCCTGGGTTATCTGTATACTCTCAGACCTTGGGTCCTACATCCAAAGTTTTTATTTCCCTCTTCTCTGTACATAGTTTCCAAGTAAATAGTCATAAGCTTATTTAGAAAACCACTGGGGCTATCATTGCTGTCTACACTTGCACTGTTGTTGCAGGATCCTTCCTATGGGGACCTGTGAATTCCAGTTTTAGAGCTGGCTCAAGTCTCAGAACTAGGCATAAGAATGTGACATTTTATTGGAAAGACTGCCTTCAGCCTCCTCATCTCCCATCTTTGATATATTCTGACTGTATAGTTTACACAGTATTCAAGTTTGCTTTCCCACTATCTTGTGCCTGGGAACACTGTTCTCTTTTTTCAATAGTTCTCCACGGGGCAGAATCATGGACTGCCATTCAGACCTTTCAACCTATTATGGTAATTGCTCCCACCTGAATTCTGATGGTTAAATGTTGCCAGCTGGCCTCTATTATATCAGGGTCATTATTACTTTCAGGGAGCCCTGTTCCTAATCAGCATTTTCTATTTTGAACCCGGCCTACAGAGAGCAACCACTGCTGAGCTTCTCAGTGATACTGATTTCCTCTCGCTAACATATTTCTTTGAAAAATGGAGTGTCCTTTTGGCCCTCCCGTGGAACATAGACTGGTAGATTTTTTTAAACCTTACTTAATATAGCCATTCCAGCATGCACACCTCATTGAGCTTTTTGAACCCTTCTTCTATATTTAGCTTAGCCCATTACTTTTTCTATACTTCCAAATGCGATCATAGTAGCATGTGAGCATTGTCTCATGGGGTCCCTGCGAGGCTATTAAATCTCATATTATGGAAGAACCCTTTGTTAGCCAAAATATAAGTCTCTTTACAGAGATCCACAGAAACATTCTGACTTTCACATTTCACCTTAAATTGGCAATCATTGACATTCAGCCTTTCGTTTGTTTCTCTAACAGATCCATAGCTTCCAACAACCATTTAATTTTGTAGTACTTAGTACTTTCCCCATATCTCTCAAAGGCTTGAGAAATTTCATTAGCCGATACATTGCTTCCACAGGTGTCCCATCCACTTAACACAGGTGAGAGTTTTCATAATTGCATCACTACAGAATATCAAGAGCTACTGATACACTACTGATAATCAGAGATAGGGTCTTTGTTATCATCTGGCTGGTAGGTGATTCAATCCCCAATTGGCATTTTAAAGTTTGTTTCCTAGAGCCACACATGGCACCAGCTCTTTTAGGTCAGATTTTCTGGAAATAAAATTTGAGATGGGTATTTGTGTTATTAGGGAGCATACTCTATTCAACACCTATAAGGCTCTGAAGAAAGCAGGACTGGGCAAGGAAAAAAGTTTAATTACAATGCAGTTACAGTGCTTCAGCTGAGCCCAGGGGGAACTCTGGAGCTAGCATGGTTCTTCAGTGCCATCCCCATTTCAGGCAAAGAAGTATCATTAACCTTTTCTCTCCCTACATGTATAATTATCTCATGACTCATATCATTGATTATGGGTTGTCCCAGAAAAAAGTATGTAGGTTTAGGTGAGGCAGCTGCACCTGACCACAGGTAATTTCCACGTAGGAGTGCAATGCCAACAGTCCTGGCAGCTGGGGAAATGATAGCTTTGGTCCGGAAGGAAAAACCCTGCGGTAAACACAACATCCACCATAGGTTTTCTTGTTTTCTTTGGCGTTTGATGAAAACCTATTCACATCACACATGATTAACAATATCACAAAAAGCTACTCCCAGTTAAAGAACTACAGAAAACTGTTGCTTATACTCCATTTAAAATTGCACAGATCTCAGTTTCTTGTCAAACCAACAAAAAACAATGCAAAGAAAATGCACAGAATTGTAGATGAAAGTAAATTCATTAGGCTTCTTACTGCCATTATTACTTAAACATTTCAGTTGCTAAGTTTAAACATTAGGAAACAATAAAAAGAAGAGAAGTCTAGAACACAATGCAAACCAAAGTAAGGACACAATAAATGCAAATGTAAAAATCAATGATGTAGAAGAGAGGAAAACATAGAGAAGATGTCAGTAGTTAAAAGACAGAGAAACCCTGTGCTAAGGTTATGTACTATACGCCCCATTTACATGAAATTCTCAAAAAGGCAAATTATAGTGACAAAGGGAATCAGCGGTGACCTCGGGCCATGGTTAGGGAAGGGTATGGGGTGGAAAGGGGCAGGAGAAAACTTTTTAGAGTGAAGTACTCTTTCACTTGTGGTGATGGTTGCACAATTATATAACAACTACATTCACCAAACTGCGCACTTAAAATAAATAAATAGTATTGTTTTAAATAATACCTTAGTAAGCAAATGAGAGAAAAAATCTACTTCTATAACTGGTAAGTAAATACTTTACAATAACATTAAGAGGGAATAAAGATTTTTCTGAAGATTTCATAAAACAGAAGAGAAAGAACACATATAAAACAAAACTTCTTTAAAATCCTTTTAAACCGTCAGTTTTGCCTAACATTTCACCCCTCAAAGCAGTTGCTACATCTCTTAAATACCTTTATTCTGCCTGTAGACTTGAACCTCCTTGGAGTTTCTCCAGCACCATCTTGGGCTGAGTCCTCCTGAGTTATGCTCTCTCTTACATAATTTTGCTCTCTCTCAGCTTTTGTTGTTTGCAGCCTCATCCACCAAGCGCTTTTTTTCCTAACCCGGGGACTACTTTGATATTCATCCACCTTAGAACGGTAAAGACTGGGCCAGGTGCGGTGGATCACGCCTGTAATCCCAGCACTTTGGGAGGCCGAGGCGGGCGGAACAGGAGGTGAGAAGATCCAGATCATCTTGGCTAACATGGTGGAACCCCGTCTTTACTAAAAATTCAAAAAATTAGCCTGGCGTGGTGGTGCGTTCGTGTAGTCCCAGCTACTCAAGAGGTGGAGGCAGGAGAATCACTTGAACCCGGAAGGCAGAGATTGCAGTGAGCCGAGATCGTGCCATTCCACTCCAGCCTGGGCGACAGAGTGACTCCGTCTGAAAAAAAATAAATAAAATAAATAAAATAAAAAATAAAAAGCTATCTCTCAGATGTTGCTTTTCTTACAACTGAATGTTTAAAAAAAGTCTATCAAAAAATAATATTTTAAAAAGATATCAACATTTATGGAAAAATAATTGACTTCATTCACTATAAATAATATGGTTTAATTAAATGGTAGACAATGTGACAATTCACACTAAGATTTAGTTGTAAAGGGTGATTGCAAATCAGAATAATACTTTATTTTTTGGATATTTTAAAACTATTATCCTATCTCTGCCTAATATATGATCTTGTTTGCTAAATAAAAGGCATAGGGAATTTTTATTAACCTATATGTATGTTCAAATATAATGTTTTTATCCTTGAAGAGGAAATTGGGAATTGCTAAGCATAAGCAGCTTATGTTAGATGGAGTCATGACACAGAAACTCATGTGAGAAAAAAAGCCAGGTATATAAGCAGTTTTTCTCTAGCATGAAAGGAAGCTGCTTGTCAAATATCCCCAGAGGATTTTTAAACGCCCTTTCCCTCATCCTTTCAGGGCTATTATAAGCTGCTTTAGCACTTCACTGGATTCACACAAGGTTTTCTTTTCTGATTTATTTACCAATCCAAAGCCTGCTCTATTTTGGAAGGTAAATGCATTGGGGAGAATAAAATATCTATAATATTGAAGACAATTGCAAATAAGTGAAAATAAACATGCAAGCTCTGCCCTAGTAAATTTCACCACATTCTACACAGAATAAGGATTATTTCATACTTGATCCACTGCGTTGGTACTAGTTTTTGCAATAGACTCTAAAAATATATGTTTTGCTCAAATATAATGCAAGCATTTACCATGAAATATGCTTATTTTGATATTAGTTATTAAGATCTTAGACATCATGATGCTGATTTCATTGAATCAAAGTCATAAGGGAAAATCTCTGGAACAAAAATGCCACTTAAAACCTATCAGGCTATTTCATACACATAGGTATTTCTCCAAACATGCTGAAATAAGGAAAAACTCAGGAATTTTATAAAATAAAAATTAATAAATTTTCCACTTCTCACAAAACCTTCTAGTACTCTAGGCAGTCACATTTAAGTAAGAAAAAAAAGAAAGAAAGAAAAAGAGACACACTTACATATGTATAATAAAATCTCAACATCCAATCCAGTAAAAATTTAGCTCGTTTTATGAAAGATAGTTGCAGAAAATCACCAGATGCCTGTTAACTGTGCTAGAAAATAAGCCACTGCTGTAGAATGGTTACTTCCATCAAACCTCTTAGACAGGCAGGAAGTTCAGTCACCAGTTCTCCCAGGTAGAGGAAAAGTCCATTCAGAACCAAACAAGCAGCAAAACTACCCTTGTTGGATGACCCATTTATTTTCTTAGATGTAGATATACTCCCCCTCAGGTCATAAATTAGTGGAGCTTGTACATAAATACAGACTTTTTATTCTTTTGCTCTAAATTAAGATTTTTAGCTAATAGAATCGTTGCTATAATTAAGATTTAAGTTGACATTTTATTTTCACTGTATTTAACAATTATATAGTGTTAATTTGGGTACACTCAGGACATTGTTCTAAGTACTTTACCAATACTCGATATCACCAATAATGCATACAAGAAATAGGAAAAGAAGTGTTAATTAACTTCCTGACGGTCACACAGCAACTGGCAAAGCCGGAACTCAATCCAGGAATTCTCTCTTTGGAGTTCATGTTCTTTACTAACACACGGTGCTGGATATTGCTATCTAATTTTATTTTTCAAAGTCATAACAAAAGTAAAAATCACTTTAAAAGAACTCAGTACCTGATTCATAATTTCTCTTTCCACTCCTTCTCCTGCCGTTATCTCATATGATTCTGTGATGTCCGCTGTTAACCCATAAAGAACAACAGGCTTATGCCCAGTATGTTGACTCTTTATCTGCAGTAACACATAGAGTTAAAGGAAAGGGCCCTGGAGCTGTGCTCCTTGAGTCTGTATCCTAGTTCTGCCACTTACAAACCATGTAACTTTATGTAAGTTATTCTCTCTGTGACTCCATTCGGGTTGTTGAGAGGATTCAGTGAGTTAAAAATCATGAAGAGCACTTAGAAATAAGCACATAAATATTGCTATTATTATTACTTGCTCTTCTCAGTACAAATGCCCACTTCATAAAAGTGTTGAAAGTTTTAGCTCAGACTTTCTATGAAGCATTCAGCTCATTGCCAGGCACCCAGTAGGAGTTTGATAAATGGATGGGAGTTTCTTTTCTCCAAAATTCAGGCCTTCTTTCTCTCTTGCTGTCTAACTGGGCTCCTTCTTTCCCAAATTTTGAAGCAATAATGCAAATTAGTTACATTTCAAAAGTTAAGTCTGAATTACACTATATCACATACAGAATAAAATTTTAAGTATTAGAAACCATTCAACGTCCTGTGAAATTTGGCTCTAACTTCCTTTTCTTGCTTCATGTCCTTACTCTTCTTCATCCAGATACACAGTGTTCCTGTCACACCAGAGAAGTCACTTATCCAAACACACTTGATACCTCTGTGCTGGTAATCATACCTTCATTTCTACTTGAATATGTTGTTGAGTTACTACTTTTAGCATTGGCCCCAATTCAAAGTTTTCTATAAGTTCTCTTCAGTTCTCTCAAGACAGTTTATTATGTCTTCATTTGTACCCTAAAAGCACACCACTTAAAATCTTCCAATAGTTCCAATCACCTCCTATTATATTTTGTAATTAGTTGTATACCAACTTGAGTCAGGAGTAAATGCCATGTATACTCTGTCCACTAAGAACAATGCCTATAATGTAATAAATTCTCAATAAATATTTGTCATATACACAAAATATAGATTGAACACTTAATGATTCCTCAAGGACAATTTGAAAAAGGTAGCTATGTCAGAAATACAGAATGAAAACAAAAACATTTACATTGGAAAATCGGTTGGCATTCAACTGCTCAAAACAAATTTGGAAAAAAATAATATAAAGCAGATACTCAGTTGATGGGAGCAAGCTGGAAAATGCTATTGCCAAACCATATTTGAGAGTAATCAACTTCTCTAAACTGGCCGTAAGTCTGAAGCATGATCAGGCTAACAAAAAAGAAAAGACCAGTGTTATTTTTACTGAATTGAAAACAGAGTGTGGGGAAATTTGTATTTTTTTCTGCAGAGAACAGAGTGACTTTATTCCCTCCATTAAAGTCAATTTCATGCTGAATCCTTAGCTGATACTTTAGATATTTACGGATCCCTTCAATTACCATGGAGCTTATACAGCCCATGTTTCATCCCCACCTTGCTCTGCTTTCTACTAAGTGATTTCTTACTCATCTGAATTGTAGTGTCAATGGACATCAGTGTAATAGTTTCCTCTATACTAAATTCATATTTCACAGAGCTATAGGGATTTAAAGACTTAAAAAAACCTAAAAATAGAATTTCATTTAATTAGGCAGTGTGGTCAGTCAATCTGTAAAATTTGTAAGAATCTATCATATGTCAACTGTTATAGGATACAGAAATGTCATAAGGGAAAACAATCTATCTGCATGGAGCTCACAATGCAGAAAGAAGAGCAAATAAGTGTCAGTGAGATGAACGTTGTAGGCTAACACAGGATGCTGTTTATGTGCATAACTAAAGCTCACAGCCTACTTTAGGGATCAGAAAGGTATCACTCAGAAAATAATATTTAAGTCTAGTCTTAAAACACAAGTTGCCATTAACTGAACAAACAGAGAGGGTAGAAAAGAGGTAGATTTGGATGAGAAACTGGTCCAGGTAATGGGAATAATGTATGTGTAGACTTTGAGTTGGAAGAACAAAGAGGGACTATAGAAAGAACCAAGAGAAGGCCACCATTTTTGCAGAGGAGACTGTGAAAGAAAGAATAGGACACATAAGGCTGAAGATAATGGCAAGATAATTTGAAGTCTTCTAGTTGATCAGGATTTTGGACTTGATCCTAGGAGCTCAAACTTCCCTGCTCCTTTAAGGAATGCAATTTCCTTCTGTTATGAATGGCTATTCCCTCTACCTTTGCACTGTATCTCATCTCCTCTAGCATACCAGACTTTGTTTCTGTAATCACACACTCTCTCTTACCTAAATCATTATTTTTCCTACTGGCTCATTTTCATAAAAATATACATACACTGTAAGAGACTACATTGTAAAAAAGAAAAATTAATTCCCCACAGGATCATTTTCTCTGCCCATTTCCCTGTAGCCTTTATAGAAAATCTTATCCCAACATGTATCTATACTCACCTACACTTTCTCAACAATCCGTCTCACTTCAACATAATTTTATCAGGATTTTGTCCCTATGCTTGGCTGAAACTACCATGGCAAAGTAATCAGTGACCTCCATACAGCATCCTCCAGCTGATTCAATAGCATGCAATGAGCCTGCGTCTCATTCTTTCAATCTTGAGATGGATTACATCATTCCATTTATATCAGACCATGAGCCTACTCTGGGACTGTCAGTTCAAAATGTCATATGAACTATCTTCTGCAGTCATTAAACTGCTAGGTGGTTAGTAGTTGAGAAAGTTCCAATATGTACTAGTGTTCACAGCAGAGTCATTTTTTTTCTTTGCTTAATAGAAGAGTTTCATAGAGAGTGCAACATGTTTGCCCTACCCCACACCTCTTTGCCCAAGTACGCTAGAAATATACAGATAAGAAAATTCAGGAAAAAAAAAAAAAACCCTGCTAATGCAAGTGGAGAACTATTTTCATCATACGGTCAAACCCATACTAGATGGAACTTCCTAACTATGTACAAAATGCTTTCTGTAGGGTAGCCAGGCCCTGCTATGTTACCTTGGAAAAAAGACACCCTGCAAAATAAATTATGAAAGGCTAAAAATGTTAGAGAGGAAACAGAAAACAAAATTGTAAATAAAAATAAAAATGTTATATTTTACGCTCAGGAAGGGAAGAAAGGTGGATCAGCTCAAAGACATTCAATTGTGTTTTACTTAATAGCAAAACTCAATATATATTATAGTATAATTTACCATTTCTCTGATAATACATACAGGATTATATAATAAGACATATATTTTATATATGAAAGAATAATTACATTTCAGAAAATTAGCCTTATTTTCAAAACATACCATTTTTGTCATCCTTATAAAGGAAAATAATTAGAAAAGCTGCCATTATTAGTACCACTTCCTAATTACAATTTTGCATAGCTTATAAAATGGACTATCTCAAAATCATTAAAGAAAAATGTAGATGATAAAATGCTACATAAGAGGTCTGCCACATTCACTTACTAAATTTTCCACCAATATTCATAGGTAAGCGTTGCCAAATTTTATTATAAGCCTTGGGTATATAGTATCAATAAGAATAAAAATTTCTTGCTAAAAATTTGTAGATAGGATAGAGGGTTTATGACTGATGTTCTCCATCTATTACATAATTCTGTGGCTATAATGTAATGTTGCAAACCTATTATTACCTAAAAATAATAGATTTTTCTATTCACATTTTCTTCCAATTTTTTGTCAGATGTACTCACATTGAGCATATTTTATGCATATTTGCTTGTCATGACCATGGATAACAACTTGAACATATTTTATTTCTATACTATCCTCTTCTATACTATCTTCATAATTGAACAGTTGAAATGGTTATCATAACATTGACATTTCAACATGCTGAGGGCATAACATCTAACTATCAATACATCTAGCCATATAGTGTATTTCTCCTAAGGAAAAACCACACCCATGCAAGCTCTGGTGCTAACATTGCCCTTTTAGGACTAATTTAGTGGAAAATAATGAATATCTTCATGAGGTATAGGAATGAGAGTATGGGTAATAGATTAAGCAATGGAAAATGAAATATGAATATATATGCTGTATCTTATCGAACATATTGATGACGTATTGGCAATTAATTTTTCAAATATCTATCATTTTTAAAGGTGTCATGCTTTGTTACGAAAGGTTCTTCAGCTCTATTAGATCTTTAACATTTTCTATTTATTTACTGTCCTTTCTACTGGAGTGGATTTTTCTCTCTTTATCTTTGGAGTTTAGTATTATGGAAATTAAATTTAAAATATTTATAGCATAAAAATTACAGTTTTGAACAGGCATCATTAGCTGTATATTAAAATAAGCAAAAAAGTCATATTCTCCTCAGTTAAGTCAGTATACAAAATAAAATGTTGGACTGTTTTCTAGTAATTGATTATAATGTCCCTGATACAAAATAGTGTTGATAAATAGGCAAATCACGTATTTGATAACTCAAAGTCAATGAATAGAGTCAAGAAAAGGGGACACTTACCATATTCCAACTGTTCATTAACAGTTGGTGCTAGGGAAAGGAGGCTTTATTTTGAATTTTTAAGTTTAGAACACATGGAGGATAATATGATACTTTGGAATTTCTAGCTGAACCGTAACCTTGAGGTGTTTGTCTTTGTTTATTCTTGGCAAAATGCAATCCTAGTTTTAAGATAAAAAGGCTGTAATGGGCTATTAAACATATACTTGAACTTCAAAGAGTTCTCTGAATGAACATTTTCACAATTAAAATAGGAATGAATGAAACCATGTGGGTTTGGTAATATTTCCTTTAAGTTACACATACATTTAAAAATTAAGGAAAATGTACATGGGAAATTAATTTAAGTTTTTTTATACAACTCCATATTAGTGGTCAGTAATACCATAACATGTCTATACTTAGCTTAAAATTTGAGTATATCATAAGCAAAAAACACTTAACAGGCAGTAGATCAGAAAAGAAAACTAACTTTACGACAATATTAATCTTCAAAGTCACATAACATTATTCATTGATTTTCTGACTGTATATGACAATAAAGTATAAAATTCTACTGTTACATCAAGTCTGCTTTCTGAGGGTTTATAATAATTTTCAGACATTGTTAGATGACTTTATTACCCTAAAAAATAAAATTAATAGATAATAAAATGTTTCGGAGATGCACAGCTCACCACAGAATCATTATGCATTTCAAGAGTATGTACATGGCTGAAGGAGAACCACCTCAAAATCTCTGATGAGAGGGCGGGACATGGTTGAAGAAATTGAGAGCTCTTTTATGTCACATCTGGAAGTGAAATCAAAACTCATGTGAGACAGTTTTCAAATGATGAGAAGATAGTGGCTTGGCAAGCTAAAGTTTGGCAAGACATTCTAAAAACCTGGTAATGCTAATCAAATCAACTCAGGGCACACTTACTGAGTCTCAGCTATTGCACTGCACAACTAGCAAGTATTCCCTATAATGGTAAACACTGAGAACTCCATTTTCAAGAGGCTTCTTGTGAAGCATTAAACCTTGGAGAGGAACCAAAAATTAATGTATCTTTTTTACTTAAATTATTCTAGGTTCTCTGAATTGAGATGAGATACATAAAATATCAAGGAGAAGAATAAAAAATGTCAAAAACATGTTTTTTTCTAAATTGTGATGCCAGAATGAATTTCATGCTTCCATGACTTCAGTATGTATCAACTAAAATTCAGCATTTTTTTCCTTTTCAAAAGTAAAAAAATGGTTATATAAAGTAAAAACCTCCTATAAACTATAACATGTGGTAAGTGTCTTAGTCATCTCAGACTGCTACTTAAAAGCCATAGAATGGGTGGCTTAATCAACAGACAATTATTTCTCACACTTTTGGAAGTTGGGAAATCCAAGATCAAGGTTCCAGCTTATTTGATTCCTAGTGAGGGTCCTCTTCCTGGTTTGCAGAAGGCCTCCTTCTTGCTGTCTCCTCACTAAGACTAAGAGAGATATCATTTTTCATAAGGACACTAATCCCATTTGTGCAAGCTTTACCTTCATGTCCTAATTACCTCTCCAAGGTTCCACGTCTAAATACTATCACACTGGGAATTAGGTTCAACATATGAGTTTTAAGAGGACACAAACATTCAGTACATATCATAAGAAAAGAAGAAGAAACTATTATAGAGAAATCCACTGATTTTTAAGAAAATATTTAATGATTCATTTTAATACATATATATAATATTCATATCACCTTATTTAATGACCTAAATTTCACGTTAGAAAAATAACATAGTGGGGGATGGGGAGGAGTGTGAGCTGAAAAAGAAGGACAAAAAGGTTAGACTAATTTAGCAGATATAAAAATATATTAGAATGCCTAAATAATCAAAACCATGCCAACAGACATGTGAATAAATAGAGCAATATAAGACACTGGAAACTCCAGAAATAGACGAAGGTGATTATAGTTACAATTGAATCTTGAATAACTGATATTGGGAAACCATGCAGCCAACTGTAAAGAGAACAAACTTAGATCCAAAATGTTCTTCATGATACATATATACATGTACATATATATTTATACATGTGTGTATATACATATAAAATTATATATATATATAGCACAAATAAAGCTGTTTTAAATGATTCCTGATTTTTTTGATACTCTCTTTCCCATACTTTCATGGGTCATGAGACATGGTTCTGTTGTTGCTTCTCTATCATTACCCATAACGGTTTTTTAAGGGCCTTTTTCTACCTTGAGGAAATGGAAATGAGTTGGCAGGGAATGCTCCATGACTACTAATGAGTTCTTTCCTCCTTAGCACTAAAAGAAAGTTATTTGGGAAAGGAAGCTGACTTACTCTAAGCAATTTTGCCAGAAAATGATACTCATTTGAGCAGCTTTCCATACTGACATGCATGTACCATTCAAGTGCATTAGTGCTAATGATTAGAAAGAGCTAAATATTGTTATACTCATTAGCAATATTACCAGTCCTTATGATAGAAATACCGTAATTACGCACGTCTCTGCACAAATTTACTTACAAATTATTTGTCAGGTAAATAAAAGAGGTTTCTTTATGGTTATTCTATGAACTACTGGAACCATAAAGACTTACTTGTAGAGAAGTTTAGAGTCCGAACGTAGTATATATCATATTTTCCTAATGTTTCTAATTGGAGCAGATGAGTGATTTAAAAAAAAAAAAAAGAAGAAGAAGAAGCAAAACACCTGTTGGCATTGAGGAAGCCTATTGTTCTTGTTGGTTAAATGAAACAAAGCTTTATTCTATTAAGGTGCCCTGCTAGTCCTGAACACAATACCGCTTTGTATAAGGAGGTGAAAAAAAGAACCTAGGAACACACATTCCTTGAAGATAGCCTGAAGAGAGTCAGTGTTTCAGAATGAGTTGAAAGATTTGGTTAAATGCTTGTGAATACAAGTAGTGGTTTAAAGTTAGATGTAAAAATGTCTGTGATATTTATCTTTTAAAATGTAGGCAAACTTGAAATAAAAGACAATAAATCACATTACAATAATACACTGAAATGCAGCTAGTTACATCTTAGTCTGTCTCTTAAAATGACAGAGAGGGTTTGGGATAAAATCAAATAGAACACAGAAAATGAACATTGATGACCTTTAGATAAAAGAGAAATAATTGAAATAGGATGTATTATTCCTTATTATTGCTAAGAATAGGACAAAAGGGAATGTTTTTATGTTTAAACAAAGAGGAACATAAGTAAAAATAAATGTGATTAACTGTAGTCACTATGTTGTACAATAGCTCACTTGAACTTACTCCTGTCACCTAATTAAAATTTTGTATCCTTTGACCAGTATCTCCCCAAGACACCCTGCACCTGGGCTTCAGTAACCACCATTCTACTCTCTGCTTCTATGAGTTCAACTTTTCAATATTCCACTTATAAGTGAGATCATGTGATATTTGTCTATCTGTGCCTGGCTTCTTTCCTTTAACGTGATGTCCTCTGGGTTCATCCATAATGTCACAACTGACAGGATCTCCTTCCACCACAAAATAAATATATGAGTTAATGAATGTGTTAATTAACTAGATCTAGTCATTCCACAAGTATACACATGCTTCAACCCATCATGTTTTACATGGTAAATATATAAAATTTTTATGTAAACATTGTGAAATTTGAAAAAAGAATGGAAAGAGTTTTGGAAAACCAACTTCAACTTTTTCCTCCATTGGGATTTTAAAGCCAGTATATGTTTACATGGGTGGAAAGTTTATCTGGGCAGGCATGCAGCCACACAGAAAGGACATGGCACTAGGGTCATCATGAATATGGACAGGGCTTAGCAAAATGAGAGTAGCTGGGAATGAGGCAAGGAGCTTATTTGAAGGGTATTCAAACAAATCGTTTCTGGAATTCTGTACCTTTGCATTCAACTCTTTTTGGAGGCTTATCTAAGTGAGCCATAATAAGGTCCAAGAGGCAGAAACAAGTTGAAACTCACAGAAGGCAAAAGAATATGGTGAGTGGGAAGGTTATGGTCAAGTGGAATATCAGCAAAATTACTTTAATATCTCATCAAAACATCCCTGAGAGGAAAGCAGCCTCAAACAGAGAAACATGTAATCTGTGCTTGCGCATGAGCGTTAACGGATAAAATGATAGTTCAATCAGAAATTTAATGGGGAAATTATATATATGTGTGTGTGTGTGTGTATGTACATGTATGTATTTACATGTGTATGTGTAGGTACCTGTGAATTATCCTTGTCAAATCAGTGTTAGGTACATAGTAGGCATGCAATATAGATTAGACATGTATAAGACATATATCTTACATGTCTAATTCAGACATATATAAGACACATATAGCAGGAAGCATTGAGATTTTCCCATCCCCCAAGAAGTGTACACACTCTTTCAAGAGCCACGTTAGAAGAAATGCATTGTCTAAATTGGACTCATGGCTGAGCCATTTTTTCCTTCCCAGGATAGAAAAGCAAAAATAAGGAGAGGATGAGAGGGGAAAGAAAGGGATGTTCAGTAGACGAAGACTAAAGAAAAATCCTTGGGGACAGGAATAGAATGAGAACAAGATGAATGTCACCTGCTTTAGAAAATAAAAGCTGTAATGAGTAAGACATGTTCAAGAGTTTTTTCGGAAGTTTTGCTTTGTGACATGTGATGAAATATGGGGGCCACCACCCCCAGTATTACCAAGAATTATTCAAAGGAATCTACATTATTCTTCTATGTTATTTTTCCCCCTTAGATATGACCATGCTTTGCTCAGGTAATCTCAGCTCTGTCTTCCTGTGCCCTAGTTGTTTTCTTCTTCCTTTCATAACATGTCTGTCTTCCTCAGATGACTCCTGGAAACAACGTGTAATTTCAGTTTCCTTAAGTCATAGAAAATCAACCAAGCTTGCTATACATATTTATTCCTGTTCCAGCTGAAGATGCAATATACATCTCACACTAGTTAAAATACTTAAGAAAAGGAGGTAAATCATTATAAACAATAGAGTAAAACATTTTGAATAGCTACCTTAGAATTTAATGTTTAACAAAGTGTTTATTAGTCACTAAATTCTATATTACATAATCATGCAGTTCTGCAAAATAAAATCCTAAATACTTTTGAGGATTTGTTATATTATTATCATTGGTGTTTTGTTTTGTTTTGAGATGGAGTCTCACTCTGTTGCCCAGCCTGGAGTGCAGTGGCACCAGCTCAGCTCTCTGCAACCTCTGCCTCCCAAGTTCAAGTGATTCTCCTGCCTCAGCTTCCCGAGTAGCTGGGATTACAGGCACCCGCCACCACGCCAGGCTAATTTTAGTATTTTTTGTAGAGATGGGGTTTCACCATGTTGGTCAGGCTGGTCTCGATCTCCTGACATCAGGCATCCACCCACCTCAGCCTCCCAAAGTGCAGGGATTACAGGTGAGAGCCAGAGGATTTATAACTGCCTAGATTTATATTCGCGCCTGGCAGAGGATTTATAACTTCTTAGATGCCATTTCTGTTGCAAGTAGAATAGTTGCAATTTCATCTAGATTTTATAAGGTTTGGGAGAAATTTATAACAACACAGTAAGTACAAAACTAAATTTATATAAGAAAAATGATATGTACATAGATGTACTAGCAAAATAATGAAATCAGTAAGGCTTTAGATCTCCTAAATTTAAAATTTTATAGTGTTTATTGGATATTGGTTTAGGTATAACTTATCAATTTCAGTAGCATCTGAATGTTTTCATTGAAAATGAGAATAAACATATACTTCCGTATATAAGCAAAAAATTAGAGTTATTTGTAGTCTAGTAAGTTAATAATCTCAATCAGCTCTTTGATTTGAATTGATTCTGTCGTTGTTACTAGAAATCTTTACCTATATTTATCTTCGTAAATTCTATTAATGTATTTGTTATGTACAAATTCCTTAGCAATCCACCACTTGTTCATATGACTTCATTTGGAGAAAAAATACTCTGGTATTACCTTAAAGTATAGACTTGAAAACCTAAAAACAAATTGTGTTTGCTAGGTAGTAGTAATAAGGGAGTAATAATTTTGTAGGAGTTTCATAGACGGATTCAATTTTCATAAGCCAATAGCTGATCACTGAATAGCTTAGGAGATACCAGTAGTATGATTCTATTCTGAGTGATCATGAGTTTTAAGAGTCCAAATCCCAAAGAGGTGCTGACATCTGAAAGAAATAAAATCAACAAAGATATAAAAGAGACTCACCTCAATATCATCATTGCTCATTGAGAAGTGATTTTCTTGAATTCTGCATTCTTTCAGTAAACTATATCAACATTCGTTATGCCCACAAATTTCATGTGATTAAATATTAAAACCATATGTACATAAACCACACATAAGTAAGGAATATCATTGCTAAAGCTAGGCAAAACACATCTACAGAAAATAGAGATGTTTACTCCCTGCAATATTTCTCTATCCTTATATTTCTCTATATTTCTACTATTAACCTGTGAAAAAGTTATAATTACTTGAAGTTGCTCCACTTCTTACATTTGATCTACTTTCTGATAAATTTATGTAGCAGTTAGAATGCTTACAGCTGCGAATAACAGACTAGACAGCTAAAAGTGGCTGAAAGTTACAGACATACCATTTCATGTAACACAAAATCAAAATGCAAGGCATTTTTAACTTGTCCCAGTATCGTCCAGTATGGTTGCTACAGTCCTACCATCAAAAGCATCCTATGGAGTGAGAAATATTCTTCTTCTGTGTGTTCCTTTCTATTAGAAAAAAAAAAAAAAAACATAAAAGGGAGTCTCAGCTAACCTGTTAGTTTCTATTTGTACCAGTCTCCATGCTCATATGTTTGCTGCAGTGTTTTCTGGGAAAGAAAGTAGCTGATATTTTCATCTGTTACAGTGTGAGATGGTCTCTCATAGAAAAAAATAAAATTGGTAGGAATAAAGCTGCAGGGTTGGCAGACCAGCTATGTACAAGAGTGTCCATTTCCTCACAGCCTCACCAGCATTGTGGGTTGTCAAATTTTGAATTTTTCCATTTCTGATAGATGAAAAATGGTGCCACAATATGATTTTAATTCGCAGGAATTTTTTTTTGTAATGAAGAGGTTGAACAAACCTATTATTTCACTGATCTTCAAATAAGAGAATACTTCTCTAATTAATTTTCATTGGTTTTATATGAGAGCTATTACATAATAACCTCTAATTTTTAAAAATGTGATTGAATAGGTGATACTTCTACATGTTCAAATATGTAAAATGTAAAGGTAGGTATGTAGTAAAATTTTCACATGAGAAACTTTTCCATATTAGTACCTAAAACATGTATTCAGACTTTTTACATAGCTTCATACTGTTACATTTTATTGATATGCCATATTCTATTTCATTGGTCCTTCATTAATGGATATGGAATTGCTCCCTGTGATATGCTGTTATAAGCAATGCTGCATTATAAAGCAGTAAACATATTCATTTCACACACATGCAAATAAATTTCTAGAATGAAATTCTAGGTCAAATTATTATACATTTGTAATTTTAATTGTCCAACGTGTTTGTAAAGTCCTGTTACACTTCCCACCAGAAATATCTGAGAACACCTATCTCCCTACAGATTCATTAACAAAATGTGTTGCTAAATATTGGCATTAGAATTTAATTTATATAATAAGGCTGGGTGAATTTTCATAAGTTCTTTTCCATGATTAGTCTCTGCCTATATTTTGAGAAGTGGGGGTTGAATGTCTTTATTCTTATTGATTTTCAAGAGCTTTCATGCTAATTCTTATTGATTTTGAGGAGCTCCTGAAATACATTAAGGAGATCGGTCCTTTCCTGTTCTGCACATTGCAAATGCTTTTTCTCAGTGTTTTGTATCTTTGTATCAAATATAGTAGTATATTTGTAACAATTATAATTTTTATATAGTAAAATTAAATAATCTATTTTTGCATTCTGGCCTCCTTTATGGTGCTTTTTGCTATTCATGTTGCTTCTTATGTAAAAAATAAATTAAAATCTGGATTTAATTTACTATTGATTCCCCATTCTATCTGAGAGCAAAAAATCCCTTTAGCCTAATTTAGTTAAATTAGGATATCTTGATCAATTGAGGCATTTTCTTCCTCAAATTTCTAGCTTTAAGTCTAACTTCTAGGAGGCTAACACACTGCCCATCTTTGTGGGCATATCTTCGAATGGCATCTAGTAGAAAGCGCACACAGGCAGTGACTCACTCCTGTGATCCCAACACTTTGGGAGGCCAAAGCAAGAGGATTGGTTGAGGCCAAGAAGTCAAACCAGCTTGAGAAACATATTAAGGCCCCATCTCTCCAAAATAAATAAATAATTAGCCAGGTGTAGTGGTACATGCCTGTAATCCCAGCTACTCGGGAGGCTGACGTGGGAGGATCACTTGCACCCAGGCGTTAGAGGGTGCAGTGAGCTATGACTGTGCCACTGCACTCCAGCTTGAGTGGCAGAACAAGACTTTGTCTCAAAAAAAAAAAAAAAAAAAAAAAGCACAATTTTCCACCTGGTCTTTGCTACCTCTCTACATTTAGATATGCTGAATCATCCAAATTTCTCTGGTCTCCGGTCACTGGGCCATGCAGTTCTCTTGGGTCTTCTTTAGATCTACTAGTTTACGTTTAGCTGTTCTTCTTGTTGATGGTTTAGGTTTATATGCAATTATACTTGATTAATATTTTCTATTGTGGTAATTGGATTTTGGTTCATAAACAAGCCTTTCCATTTTAATGATTATATATTTTTTCATCTCATCTTCTAGCCTTATGATGATTTCAATTTTTAAGCATAGTTAATTTTGAATTTATATCATGAGACTTTGGAAATTCCTCCAGGTGGCCTTAAACAAATCCAGTTCTCCCTCTTCTCTCCTGTTCTCAAGAAAAATTGTACAATGTTCTGGAAATACAACATACTAAGATAGAACCTCAGTGGAATACCTCATGCTCTGTTCCAGCCTCCCTCTAGAAAAGGATTTATTACAAGGTTTTCCCCCGTGGTTCATGTGACCCCAGTGCATAAAGCTCAGGATCGGCTGCCTTCTGGCATCTCTCAGCTGCAGTTCGTGTGGGGACCATGAAGGTAAGATTCCATCCCCCTTGGGCAGCTTTTCTGGGTCCTGGGGGAATTCAGTTGGCAATGAATCTTAAGCTTCTGTTGTCCCTTCCTGACTATCTGTAAGCAATGAATCTGCTCATGTAATTTGTTGTGTATGTAGGTATTCTATCTCACTAAACTCAGACAAATTGGTAACTAGTGCACAGTGAACCTGCTTTAAATGAAGTATGAAGAGTCATTCACACTTACATTGCCTCATTATATATACGTATATTTCACTGGTGTTTAGATTTCCCTGTCCCTGCTACATGCTTCCTCATTATTCTATAGATTATTCCAGCTGGGGATTGAAAATAATTGTTGTCATGTTATCCTTCCATCTATTCATCCACAAAAAGCATTCCATCCTGAAAATTTTTTAAATTATAACATTTTTAATTTATTAATTATAATTACTTTTATTAATTTTTTTATTAATTATAATTATTACTTTTTAAATTATAACATTCACAGCCACAGAGTTATATTTTCTATCCTCTTTGAAGCCACGTAAAAAACTTTGTTGAATAATATTGTGACATCGGACTTAGAAAATGTAAGTCTCTTATTACCTGCCTTCCTTCCTGCCTGCCTCTTTCTCCTTCTTCTTCTACATCTCTTTCTTTCCTTTTGCCTTCCTTTCTTTTTTCTTCCCTCCCATAAAATAGCTATTGATCAATAACACATGTTTCTCATTTGGTTATATGAGAACATGCAACTCATTGGCATGCTATACTATAACTAAATTAAATAAATATTTAATTAAATAAACATTTATTGAGCACCTATAATGTGCAAGGCATTTAGCATTTTTAAGCTACACTTGGCACACTCTTGTGTAAGACAAAAGTCTTGAAACTTTGAAATCCAGAGATAGAAACACCTGCAATCAAGAATGAAAGGCAGCCAAAGCACACTACCTATCTGTCAGCAAAAAAACATTTGATTGTACAGACCTTCAGCTTTCCATGGCTTCCACTGGTTCAATATCCCGGATCCTTACTTTGAATACCTGTGTGCCCGTAGTTATGTAATAATATCTGACTCCTTTTGATTATTTGACTTCCATCATTGACCCGTATATATGATATGGCACTTGTCCCTTCCAGCCCCTCCTGATTTTGCTACTTGGTATTAGCCACCAGATTCACCTTACACCTGTGTTCATTTGCTCTTAAGATTCTGTTTCTACCCCATGACATTCTCTCTGCCCTTACAGCTCTTCACCCAGCCACTAGTTACGAATTAAGAGCTAATTTGATACTTCCCACTCCACATTTTCAGAACAGTCTTGGTAAATGGTTTCCTATTGTTTCCAGTGCTGAAACTATGGATGATTATCTAGTATTGGGTTGATTTTGAAGTTGTGGGATCTCTACATTTTAAAACTAAGCTCACAGAGTTCAAAATGTTCTATCTTAGTATTAATAGAAACAATAAAACTTTTTAAAAATCTAAAAAGAATGAAAAAGTTGATGCTTTACCTCAATTTCACCTCCTGGCAATTCAACCTACTCTTGCAAACACAGTGTTATAATTACCATCACATTCTTCTTGTTTACAGCAAGAGTTAATTTTTTTAATCTCTCTTAGCTTAGGAACTGAAGTGTCTTTGTTTGAATACTTTAACTCGGGTCATAATGTTATCCTTCTTGCTGATCTATTCTTAAGCTGTTATCTTCTTTCCTTTACCAATCCAATCACCTCCCTATGGAAACTCCCTATTTTCCAAAACTGAAGATACCCATATTTGTTCCAGAAACACATTGTTATCATTGTTTCTATTCAAGACAGATAGTTTTGCCCAGCAACTAGTTACATGTGAAATCTTAAGTCCATGGGCATAATAAAAACCATAGTCACATTCTAACATACTAAATTTTCAAGATATCAGAGTACTAACGTCTATTTAACAAACAATTCATAACATAAAATGATTCAAAGCAGATTTTATAATTCAATATAACACAATATGTTTAAAAATAAAGCAGAATTATCAATAGAAAAACAATAGGTTAGACTGGGAGCATGAAATGATGAATGACTACAGTTTCTGGAGAGCTAAATAAAAAAAAAGGCAAAAAATTCTTCCACTATATATTTTTCTGCCAAAAGAAAGCCTATACATATTTGTTGAATATTACATTTTTTTCTCCAACTGGTTTTGGGTATTTTTGTATCTTATTACATAAAGATATTTTAAGAACACAGTAAAATAATATTTGAATCCTATAGTTTCTACTTTGAAATATATTCACTCCTCCCTATGCTCTTACCAACCTTATTTAAGCTCCCATCATTTATCTCCTGGATAATACAATAGCCTCCTTCCTGATTGCCGACTTACTTCTATTTGCACCTCTATTACAACAGAGCAACCAGTATGACCCTTTTAAATTTCATGTAAGACCATGTCGTCTTTATCCAAAACTGCCAAAGTCTCCCCCATTTCACTCAGTATGAAAACAAACACTTTGAAATAACCTATAACATCTCATATGATCTTTAGAAAAAAATATATTAAAGGAAAAATGAAGATTTGAGATGCTAGAATGGAAAGCAAGGAAGTTGAAAATTATGCACTTAAATAAATGAAACATCTGTATATAAAGTGTCTAATATGTAGATTTGAAAATAAGGACAGAAATAAAATCGTGGCAACATTATAGCATATATGTAAGAAAGAGATGATCAGAATTAAAGTTATTAAAGCCCTACTATTTTGAGTGGGAGAATTTAATATACTGATTAAACTTGGACTATACTTCACTATAGAAAAAGCCTTCTATTAGAGCCTTATATTATTGTACAAAAAATTCATTTTAGGTGAATTAAAGTGTTATAGGTGAAAGGAAAAACTAGAAAAACTTTTGTAAGAATGTGTAAGAAGATATCCTCATGGCCTTTTGTGTGGAATATACTTTTACAAATAAAACACAAAAATGTGAGCCATAAAAGAAAGGATTGATAAGCTACACACCTGAATTAGGAAATTTTAATTGTTATGGTTTTCAAAAAACACCATAAAACAGTGAAAAGACAAGCCAGAAACTAGAAAACAGATGACTGTTCAGAAAAAAAAAAATCATGCCAATCACTAGAGAACAGTACAAAACTGATGAACAGCCAGAATGTTGATAGTGGGGAGGTTGTGCATGTGTGTAGGAACTGGGAAATCTCTTACCTTGTGCTCAATTTTACTATGAAACTATAAGTGCTCTGAAAAATAAAGCTCACATTTAAACAAATCATGAATAAGCATTTCAATGAGGAAGAAACAATAAAACTCTTAAACATAGGAAAATTACTTACCCATGATAACGATCAGACATGTATAAATTGAGACTGCAATGAGTCACTAGTTCCTTTTATTCCCAGGAAATTGTCAAACATTAACATACCTGATGTTCCCAGCTGCCGGTGTTCATGTAGATGAATGGAACTGCTTTACACAACTTGTAGGAATGTTTTCATACAGCCATCTTGAAGGATAATTTGTCATTGCCTTATAGAAATGAGCATGTGCAATCTTCATAACCAAGTGATTCTACTCTTGAATAGATGTACCAAGATACAGGTACTTAGGTGTTGTAATAGCTAAAGCAGGAAACAACTCACATGTCCTCCAAGAAGACAATACATAAACAAATTCTGGGATAGAAATGATGGAATATTATACAGCCATTATTGAAATTATTGAGTGGAATTAAATAAACTATAGCTATTTGTAACAACACAGCATAATATTAGAAATATGTTTGTGGAAAGATATGAATTATAAGCAATAAGATAACATTTTTATTGTACTCAAAACTAAACAAAATCTAACTCTTTCTCTCTCTCCACACACACACACACACACACACACATACACACACACTCATATATATATTCTATCCCACAATTTGTTTATGTATTGTCTTCTTGGAGAACATGTGAGTTGTTTCCTGCCTTAGCTATTACAACACCTAAATGCCTGTATCTTGGCACATCTATTCAAGAGTAGAATCACTTGGTTGTGAAGAATGCACATGCTCACTTCTATAACGTAATGGCAAATACATGGTGTGTATACATAAACAAAGCAATAGAATCATTTAATAAAAATTTAAAAAGGAAGAAAGAAAATGATCAGTGGTGAGAAAATGGCATGGAAGAGGGAAGTTTACACAGGCAGTTTTAAAAGGTTAGCAATATTCTAGGTCTGAAGTTCAGTGGTGACAATAAAATGTATACATTTTATTATTCTGCTTCCTAACTCCAATGAATATTATATTTGTATTAAACGATTCTTACATTTGTATTAAAAAGTAACTAGACTTGATTCAAAGTTGAGAAGAATTAGTTTCCACCAAAGTACGTGCTTTTTTTTTTTTGTACAAAGCCAGCAGAGAAAAAAAAATAAATCAATCAATTTTGAGAAATAGCTGTAAACAATGAGTCCACATTTCCTTGGAACTCTAGCAAATGTACTTCTTACACAGAGGGAAAAGGTGCCTCTCCTACCCTGGACCCTCAATTACTCTTTGTTAACATTCCATTTCATGGCAAGCCACTGCAGGCCAGTCTGGGAAAACAATTTTGCAACCACACAAGAATTGTGAGTTATAAAAAATGCAACAGTGATTTCTCCATAAGCCACCTCACCAGAGGTGTAGAGAAAGTAAGTACAACAGGCTGAGCAAAACTCCTCCTCATCTGTGGGCATGCATTGCTTAGGCTGAGAATAGATATTAGGAATATATAACCAGATGCAGAGCTACAATATTTATATAATTTGGTAATTCTTTCTTCTCAACAGAACCAGTGCTGGGTATAAAGTGTTTTACAGCAAGCTCAATAAACTTAGTTTGACTTTATGACTATGCCAAATATAACAGGTTCTCTTAAACAAAATAGAAACTCATTGATGAAGACCTTGTTACAGTAGAAGTTTGTCATATTGTAGATACTGTATGTAAAATTAGGTAAATTCAACTTGCCATGACAGACATAAATACACATACTTGAGACATCAGGTAAGCATGAAAACAATAAAAACAGCTAGCAATAGTTCTGGCCAAACTTTAAAAATAAATAAAAACCAAGCATTAATCTTAAATATTGTATAATTCCCCATTATTTTTACTCTGAAGAAATGACACTCATTTTCTATAATTGTCTTACTTTTTTTTACAGCTATTAGATTCACGCCTTGAACATGAATCTTGCTTGCTTCCTCTTTACAGAATCAGGCATAAATGGTCATTCATTGTATGTTTCTACATCACAACTACAGACACACTAATTCTTGAAGCAGCTCAGCCTCCTGACTCTTGATTGCCTCACTTTCATTCTTTTTGCCTTCCTCCCAGTGCTCTTTTTTCCAAAGACACATCACAGCCTTCTTGCACTTAGGGACACTACCCAGCACTTCCAGACTACTCTCAGGGGCCATTTTAAACAGTAAAATCACCAAGAAAAAGCACAAAAGTGTGGAAAGTGTCACAGTAACTGGAATATGAAAAGGACTCTGTTGTGTGAGAGCTGAAACAAGAAGGCGGAGCATCGCTTTGTTACTCTCAGCTGAGAACTGGGCGACTCTTACAGGGCAATTCAAATCTCCTGCTCTGCACATGTCCACAAATGACCACAAAAGCTCCTCAACTATTGATTTTGAGGTTATAAATAAATTTTAACGAAGAGGGGAAGTCAAAATACCAAGTCCGTGAATGAGGAACGACTGATTTTAACCTATTTCCACTGCTTAGAGTGGAACAAATCATTCCTTATCCTCATTTGTGTACTATACTAACCCCTTTCAATTTAAAGATAAAAGTAATAGATAATGCTTATTGTACAATTGATATGTGCCAGACCCCTTTTCCTGGGATTTGACTTGTATTTATTCATTCAGTCCTTACAACAATTATATGAAATAGAAATATGGTCATCATCTCTGTTTTACAAAGAAGCAAACAAGCACAGAGGGGTTCCATTACTCACTGAAGTTGCATAGACAGTTGAAATCCTGGGCACCTCCCCCAAACTTGTTCAGTAAAAGCACTGTGCTGTAAAGCTCACGCCGTTACCTCCACTACCTCCACCGCCAAAGTTTCCTCAACATCCCTGGTGACTTGGTCTCAAGTCTACCATGCTTTGATAGTTAGGTTTTATCTCAATTAAGTTAAAAGTGCAGAAAATACTGCATTTATATAATATGGTTTTAGCTCCTTGGAGGACTTCTTTACACAGAGTATTTTGTCCCAAGCTTATTCTGTGAGACACCATACTCAACATATGGAACTTCTTATTTTATTTATCAGAGGATGTTATTGAGGACGCTGTTTCTACATTACTAAGTGTTCCCAATATAAAGAGCCATGTGAATAATTGCTTTCAGGCCTAGGGCCAGAACACAGAGCCTCAGTAATTTGCGTGCATTTCATTTTATTTTTAGGACAACATGAGTCAGGTTCATAATCATGTTTTCTAAGTGGATGCCAGGAAACTCTAGAATACGACCATGTATCCACAACACTGTATGGAGTTGTTAAAACTTACATTACTACATAAGCACTGCACATTTTTGTTTTTCTCTTGCTCTTGATTTTTCATTCTATCTGAATTTCTACCTCTTACATGTATCTGTATAAGCTACCTCAAAATAATTTTAGGACAAAACAGAAGAAAGGTGTATAAATAATACATAAATTGATTTCATTTGGAGTCATTTCGTTTTCCCTGTCACTGTTTTCTAATTAATTCTAATGTGTACACAGAACTTTAGAAGTGACATCTAAAGCTGAATGTGAAATTGCAGATGTGCTTTAACAAATGCACCTTGACTATTCTCATTTGCTTTGGTCAATGTTGGTTATAATATGAAATTTTAGTCTAAGTTTACTTAATTTACTATGTTGTAGGAGCCTAATATTTCATAAAATTTATACTGATATTTTGGGTAAATTCCTATTGAGGCTTACAAGTATATGTGATTCAGTGAAACCTTATTTTAACATCACATTCATTTGTTTCTATAAAGAACAAAGTTATATTCGAGCTCTAAAATTTATTTTTGAAGCATATGCATATAAATCTAAACAAGGCCAAAATGACACATTTCTTAAGAGTGAGTAGATGAACACGTGTGGATGGGAGTGGAGTTACACCTGCCTGGATTAGGCTCCAATATAAGCAAGGACTCTACTTTAAAATTGTTAGGTCAGCCTGGCAACACCATCACATCAACAAATTCCAGAAATTCCTACTGTTCATGATTGAAGAAGCTGTTATTTTTATTCCTATTTTCTTCTAGAAATGGAATGAAATTAATTACAGTAGATTATGGCTACGCATCAAGAATTTTTAAAAATTAAACAGGAATTGAATGTCATAAGGTTGAAAAGGTGAAATTCTCTATGAACTTGTACATATTAGAATTTTAAAAATAATCGTTAGAAATGTCATAAAGGAACAAGAGGTGAGAATAGACTGCTATTTGTCTCATGTGAGGAGTAAGTTAAGCAAGTTGTTAAGTAAAACATGATTCAGTTTCAACAGACATTAACTTTATTTTCTTAGGATAATTTACAGCCCAGACGATCTGATCCACATTGAGACTTATAAGGAGCTTTACATTTATTTAAGTCAAGAGAAATGGTTTCTATCTTTCTATTCTCCAATGAGGAATATTCTACATTTTGTTTCACAGAATTGTGAATCTGATGTTGAATATAATAAAAAAGTAGGTCATGGATTGAATTTTTAACTTTACAAAGTGGATTTTGCAGGAGAGTTAGAAAAAGAGAGATAAATAGAGAGATATGTGTAATATACATAAACACACACACACTGGCATTTTGTAATTGAAACTAATAAATTATTAATATAACAAGAAGAATTCTCATTTTTCCAGATGCCCAATACAGTAGGCCTTACAAAAGATTTAAAAATATATAAAATATCTCTACTATATTTTTTCCCAGAATTTGCTGGGAAAATATGCTGAATTTTAACATACTAATTTTAAATGTTTTCCCAACAGAATACTGGATTTTAAGCATTCAGTTTTAGTGAGAAATTATAAGGGAAATCTAAACTTGATTTAAAGTCATAATAAAAAATACATTTTAATAAATCATATATATATTACTGTATGTACTCTGTACAATGAATCTTTATAAACTGTTATTAAGGATTTTTTTATTTTGGTAAAAGATACACATTGTGCCATTCAATAGTTCTGACATTTGTAAATGTGCCCATTTAAATAAGTTCTTAATGCTAGCACACAAGGAAGAAAAGCATTTCCATGAGTTAATTATGTTAATGAATGAAATGACAGAATCTTTCTTAGGTTATTGCCATTTTTTTCTTTTAGGTGGTCAACAGACTTTAAGTTTTGAAAGCAATAAAGGTATTTTTTGACATATGACAATTATCTTGGTATGAATCCCTTAAAATAAAATTTATCATGCTCAAGCCATGAAAAATCAGGAAACAACTTCTTCTAAGTAATAGTAATAAGTTTATTAGCAAAATAATGAAAAACATAAATTTCCCTAACGATATTTTTGTTGGAGAAAATATGTTTATCTATAATCTATCCATAGTCTAGAGTCATCTAAATAAAGAAACTTAGACTCTGTGCAACTATTGAGAGGACATTATCTGTCTCATTGAATGTATCTACCATTCCAAAACTCAGGAGTAAAGCACTTTTACATGTAGGTGACATTTTAATATAGTGCAAAGAACTGTATGTTAGGAAGACACTTACCATGGGGCTTTAAGCCATCAAAAACTTACATTTTCATAATCGTTGTGTAAAGATGATGGTATTTTTTTAAGTTGTGACATAAAATATTGATTTTAGGGATTAAATATTAAGCATAAAACAGAATTCACACAAAAACATACAAAATCTTTATCTTTGGTTTAATAACAGGAGGCTCAAAAACCTAATAGTAATATCTATTCAATACCTACTGAACGCTTACAATGTGCCAGGCACTACTTTAGACAAAAATAATGTACCAGTAAATGCAGAATGCAAGAATCTTCTTTGCTTTCTCTTCATCCTGACTGGTCTATATTATTTCTTCTTTTCTATCCTACTTTCTGTTGGATGTACTGAAAACTATTATCAATTATTTTTTTCCTAATACTGATTTAATCTTTATTATTTTAGTGGTCAGTCTAGGCATGTGCTACCCAATGTTTAACCACCAGCTATAGGTGAATATTAAATTTAAATTAATTAAAATGAAATAGAATTTAAAATTCAGTTCCTCAGTCTCACTAGCCACATTTTAGTAGAGTCATTAGGATTTTATAATAGACTGGGTGAGGGATAAAAAGAAAGGGTACTATTAATTCTAAAGCCTATGGTCTGAGCATTGTCAAGAGCGGATTTGCTATCAACTGAGATGGGAAAGTCTGTGAATGGAGATCAGTAATTCATTTGGAACACATTAAAGATACCGATTTGACAACTAAGTGAAACTGTCAAGGGGGCATTTGGCTATACAATCTGGTGTTCAGGGGAAAGTTTTGGATTGAGGATTCTAATTTAGAAGTTAGCAGTATAGGGGTGATATTAAAACCGGATGAGGTCAACAAAACAACAAGTATACATAGAGAAGAGAAAGGGACTTTAGGTATGCCAAAACTAAGAAGGATGGCAAAAGCTGAGGAAAGCATATAGGAGAGTTATGTCCTGGAAGCCTAGAGATATGATTTGGCTGTGTCCCCACCCAAATCTCATCTTGAATTGTGGGTCACATAATTCCCATGTGTTGTGGGAGGGACTTGGTGGGAGATAATTGAATCATGGGAGTGGTTTCCCCTAATACGTTCTCGTGATAGTTAATAAGTCCCATGAGCTCTGATGGTTTTATAAGGGGTTTTCCCTTTCACTTGGCTCTCATTTTCTCTTGCTTGCCACCATGTAAGACATGCCTTTTGCCTTCCACCATGGTTGTGAGGCCTCCCCAGCCACACGGAACTGTGAGTTTATGAAATCTCTTTTTCTTTATAAATCACCCAATCTTGGGTATGTCTTTATCAGCAGTGTGAATACGGACTAATACACCCCGTAACAGGTGTGTATCAAAGGAGGAAAGGTGATCAACCATATTAAATACTTTGATAAGACAATTAAGGTGAGAACCAGAAATAAATCATTAGATTTTATCAACCTGGGGGTGAAATTGACAGAAGCAGATTCTGAGGAAGGCAGGGATGAAAGCTTGATCAGAATGCGTTTAAGAATGAATTGGAGAGGGGTATTTGAAATAGGGCTTCCAAATGACTTTTGTAATTCCAAGTGACTTTTGGAATATTTTTTGTTATAAATGGGATGGTAGCTCCTACAAGTTGGGTCAAAAGAAGATATGTTTTTAAATTGGGAAACAATAGTTTGTTTATATGATAATGGGAATGAACTGATAAAAAGAAAACATTGGTAGTGTAAAGAGGAAAGAAAATAAATCGTAGAGAGAGGTTCTTGCTTAGATGAAGGAAGAAAGGATCTATGCTCCCATGAATTGATGGATTAGTCAGGCCTGCGGAGTGTTCTTTCACAGTAATGGATAGAATCAGAGATCATGCACCAACAAATAGGTGTTGGAAGCATCTATAGAAGATGGAAAGAGTCTGTGGAAGTTCTCTCCTAAATGCTTGCTTTTCTCAGTGAGATCGGTCATTGAGAGTGACCATAGGGAAGAGATATAGGGGGTTAGGAGCAAAAGATGAAAGTGAGGGATAGACAGTCTGTGATGCATAGCATCACTGCCTCACAATACTGAGAGGACATCAAGTGAGATAAGACCACGTTCTTGTGTGATCTTTTTCCTGCTTTCATCTGCACAGATGCAGCTGTGGAATAGTAGCATTTAACCATGGTTGTGACTTTCTCAAGCTGGCATGCCAAAGAATTATATGTAAGGAAATTAATTTTATGTACAAGAAAGTATTTAAGCTGGGTAGAAAGTGGACAGACAATCTGAGGGAGTGAAGGACACTGAAAGAGAGTCAGATCTAGAACAGTAGTCCTCAATGGATCGTCATGAGGTTCTCAAAGATCCTTTCAGGAGATCCAGAAGATCCAAGTTTTCATAACACTACTAAGATATTATTTGCCTTTGTCACTCTTATTGCTGATGACTTTGCAGTGGAGTTTTACAGCTCATAGGGGGTGATATCACAATAGATTTAATGCAAAAGAAAATATGAGAATCCAGCTGCCATCTTTTAAACCAGACATTAAAGAGATTTGCAAAATGTAAAACAATGCTAATACTGTTTTCTCTAAATTTGCTTTTGCTTTGCAAAATATAACAATCTCCCAAATGTTAAATTTTATGTTAAAATGGGTTGTTCCTGTTAACATATAACTAATTTATTTTTGCTATTTTAATTAACATATAAATTATTTTTAATTTTTCACTTTAAATTTATAATACAACAAATAACCAAGATGCTACTCACATAAATAAAAGCTTTTAGGCATCCTCAGTAATTTTAGGAGTGTAGAGTTTATGAGACTAAAAAGTTTGAGAACTGATGAATTAGAGGAAATGATAAAGTCAAAACTTAGTTGAAGTCATTGTAAAAGAAAGTGAGCTTAAAGATAGGAAGTGATGATAAGAGTATAATGCATAGAATTGAGATAGGAAAGCAGTTAACATTATTGAATGCAAGGTCTACAGCAGTGCTATTCTATAAAATTTTCTGTTATAATAGAAATGCTCTGTATCTGTGCTGTGCAATATAATAGTTACTAGCCACAACTGGCTAATGAGCATTTGAAATGTGGCTAGTGCAACTGAGGAACAAAATTCCAATTTTATTTAATTTTGTGCATTTACATTAAGAATAAATAGTCACATGTGTTTACCATATTAAACACTTCAGTACCGCTATAAGTTTGTCTGAAAGAGGTTTGAGGACGAGATTACCAGAGAAGAAGTATTCAGCAAACTGAGAGGCCAGATTATTGAAAGCATCTATGAATACATTTTATACACTGGAATCATCAATAATTATTACATTAATCATCAGAACAAGTTAATATTTATTGAGCACTGTATTAATCCATTTTCACACTGTTATAAATACCCAAGTATGAGTAATTTATAAAGAAAAGAAGTTTAATTGACTCACCGTTCTGCATGGCTGGGGAGGCCTCAGGAAACTTACAATCACGGCAGAAGAGGAAGCAGGCACCTCTTACATGACTGCAAGCAGGAGAAGTGAAGTGCGAGCACAGAAAATACTGCCACTTTTAAAACCATCGGGTTGGACGCGGTGGCTCATGACTGTAATCCCAGAACTTTGCGGGGCCTAGACAGGCAGATCACCTGAGGTCAGGAGTTGGAGACCAGCCTGGTCAAAATGGTGAAACCCCGTCTCTACTAAAAATACAAAAATTAGCCGGGCGTGGTGGCAGGTGCCTGTAATCCCAGCTACTTGGGAGGCTGAGGCAGGAGAATCGCTCGAACACTGGAGGTGTGGGTTGCAGTGAGCTGAGACTGTGCTGTTGCACTCTAGCCTGGGCGACAGAGCGAGACTCCATCTAAAAAAAACAAACATCATCAGATCTTGTGAGACTCACTCACTATCATGAGAACAGCATCAGGGAAACCACCGCCATAAACCAGTCACCTCCCATTGGCTTCCTCCCTTGACACGTGGGGACTACAATTCAAGATGAGATTTTGGTAGTGACACAGAGCCAAACCATATCAAGCACCTAATATGTACCAGGCTAACACTTTCATTTGTATTTACTCTCCAGAATGACTCAAATACTATTATTGGCTCCATTTTACAGATAAGAAAACAGAGGCAAATGGCCATTAGGTAATACACTATGCAAGGTAACACATGGTTGAGGCAGATTTAAGCCCAAGTATTCTGATTTCAGAATCCACTCTTTCAGACAGTACATTATACTGCCTTTCTTATTTGAGGGTGCTAATCTTTTAAAGTTATTCTTTAAATATTGCAGGTAGCTGAAATGACACAAGGTGCACACTATGCTAATTGATGCTACAGGGATCCTATCAAAAGGGATTGTGATGCAAGTCAAGCAAAACTCCACCGATGGAAAAGATATCACTAACTTAGAGGTGTGCCCTGGAAAATGTTCAATGCATTTTTGTACCTTATCCCTAAAGGAAGTTTATTGATGACAAAAATTCAGTTTCTAAAACGGATGTCAAGCTTACCGAATTTACATTTTCAAACTGAGCTAATTAGTCCCCAGCTATTTCAGTGGTGTTAATAACTGTAAACACTGAACAAATTATTTGTGATAACATGGAAACACTGAGTAGACTTTCTTTCCAGGGTACATTTATGTATTTTCATGGCAGAGGTGAGATCGCTTTCTGAGGACATAAGACAATGCCACATCAGCTTTACAAAATTCTTATCCCTACTGATTATGGCAGCAAGGATACAAGAAAAATGTTTTGCTTATAAGCACATTTGAGTTAATAATAAAATACAATCTTTAAACATCTCTGGTAACAGAATAAGAACGGTATCACATTTAAAAGAAGACTTCAACTGCTTTTTATTAAAGATTTTGTTACCCTAAGAGAAAAGTAGACATATGAATTACTTTGAAGTTAATATTTATTTACTTAACTTCTATTCCTATTTTGTATTAAGCACTTAACATCTAAAACTAGTTGCTGAATCAGAGAAGCAGCGTTGGAAGAAGAGTACCAGCAAAAACATGGACACTCCTTATGGAATTAGGCTCTACCAATTTTAAAAATCATGTAGATAGAAATCATTACTGAAAATGATAGTACTAATATTTAAAAAGTCTTCTTTAAAGCTAGAGTCAGGGAACTGAAGCTAATGTATATGAAGTCTATGAATATATGTTGAGTTTTGTAGTGTCCTAGGCACCATCCTAGTTAATGGAGATCCGGAGGTGATCAACATAAGCATCGTCCATGCTTTCCAGTCGCAAGGAATAGTGTTAGAAAATTAAAGGTTAGAAAACTAAAGCTGAAATATTCAAGCTCCCATAAAAGCTGAAATATAATAGTGAGGGGTACTCATCAAAGTCAATAAAAATTCACAAATCTCATCATATAACTTTTAAAAATAATTAGATTAGTTTTTAGGAGACATTTGTCAAGGGTAATGTGAGTTTGCTTATATGGTAAACAGTATTTAAAGGCCTAATGTTATTCTCTGTATTTTCAGTGCCTCTATGGTGACATCAGGAGTTATTGTACCTCTTTTGTACCTTTTATTTTTCTATCTGTCAAATTATCATAATGACTCATATCAGTTAAAAATTCTTGGGGGTGTAATTAGCCATGCTTACTCTTCAAAGAGCCTTGAAAAAAAATTATTGTCATCATGAATTGATGCTTGTAAAGGTTTGGCAAACTTTGTTGATATTTATTATATTGTATTTAATATAAATATTAACATATAGAATGGGCATTATAATCCATTATTAAAATAGATTTTTTCAGCTATATTTGTTTAGAAATAAACGTTCTCACCTGTTGCTATGTAAACATCTGTAGTTACCTAAGTTGTCTGATTAGTTTATAGGAAACTCCCCTGGTTACTAAAATAAATTATGCAAACTTTTTCTTCTTTATCAGGGAAACGTATTTGTTTAATTTCTTCTATAAGATATAGCTTAATAAGCCATATTATGGCTATTGTATTCAATGGACATATATTTGGTACTGGCATGTATAGCTAGAATTAAACTGACGTGTGAAATACAAAGGAATATACTAGTGTTTCCTGTGATCCAGCAGCTAAAAATTTAATTAAAGAAGCAAAAAAATGAAATAAAAAGAAGATTGTAATATAATCATATTGTATAGTGTGGTAAATATAATGCAATAAAATTAGTGAATATCACAATGTACAAAAATAAAGTGTATTTCATTATTATCACAAGCAGAGAACTGTCTGGTTTCTTTACTGTAATTTTTAGATCTCTGAATTATGGTTTTTTTCTTTGCATTTGGTGGTGGCCCTTTTCTGAAATATAATTACTTAGTTAATTGTTGTTTTAGAGTTTCTTTATGAAAAAGATATTGTATTGCTCTAAAACTAGAATGGTTTCTTGGGATCATCCAAGTTTTGCCTTTATATTTGAAAGTTTCCTAATTTTGTGTGTATGTTCATGTGTGCTTGTGCCTTTATTGATTGAATCAGGTATTGGAGTTCATGGTAATCAAACCCTAAAGAGGCGATTTTATTATTTTTTGTTTTAAAATTCACTTCGACAATCAGCCTAAAAACTTCATGTTGTATGATTAGTGGCAGCTGACCTCCTAGTAGAAAAGCTCACGTGTGACAGTAAGATATGAAGATTACCCCTGTGATAGCTGGTTAAATAAAAGGGCCTTAGACACAATGCTTTCCAGTTCTGCTGCTATTCTTCCTTCTCCATTTAAGGATACATCTTCTAACTCCTTAGAATATTTGTGTTAGCAAATCCCAGAACCTCATCACAATACAAAAAAAAGGTCTTGACCGACACTTCCTGATGATGTAGATCCATATAGATCTTCATCTTTTTGTATTTTAATGAACATGTTACAATTTTCAAAATTGCAACATATTATAACTTAGTTTTATTTTATGACAATTGCTTCCTATTATTAAAAGGGAGTCACCAACTAGTAATCCATTTAAAATTACAAGTGGAGTCAGTTATTTCCAGGAAGAGAAAACAATAGAAAAATCTACTCTTTTGTGCATCAGCCTTCTCATATCTTTTTTGTTTTAGTGTTTATTTAGCTCTTTATTTCTTAATAGTAAAAGAAAAAAAAGTTATTTCTATATTAAAATATTTTTTCTGTAATAGTAACTCTAGTAACTGTGATGGTTAATTTTATGTGTCAACTTGACTGTAAAGAGATGCCCAGATGGCTGGTAAAACATTATTTTTGTTAGTGTTTGTGAGGGTGTTTCCAGAAGAGATTAGCATGTGAATCAATAGACTGAGTAAAGAAGATCCACTTTTAACAATATGGGTAGGCATCAACCAATCTTTCAAGGGCCCTGATAGTAGAAAAAGGGCAGAGAAAGGCAAATTCTCTTTCTTTTCTTGAGCTCCTGGTTCTCAGGCCTTCAAACTAGGACTGAATTAAGCAACCACTTTCCTGAGTTTCTACCTTGCATAAAATGTACTGTGGGACTTCTCCACCTCCATAATAATGTGAGAGCCAATTCCTACAATATATCTCCTTTTATATATCTATTTATATCCTATTGATCTGTTTCTCTGGAAAACCCCAAAAGTAAGATGGCTTCTGTTTTTATATATATTTAGGAATTTCCCAACTGGAATACACATTGATTCTCTAAATTTTTACACAGCTTGTAAGGTTTTAACTTACTTACTTGATACAGTTTTTTTTTGTCATTTTATGTATCATTATTTATATGATATATATATAGCTTATGTTTTTAATACTTCACAAACACTCAAAACATACATACTTCTTAAGAGATATTTAACTTTTTAGTGACCTTAACCTTATACTGATAACTCATATTAATGATGCTACATTTGTGTTCTGATGCTATTACTTTGAAGAGTGTTGTTCCTTAATGAGCAACATGTTACAGATGTTTGAAAATGGAGAGAGACTGGAACTGCTACAAGATAGATTCTACAGGATATAAATGTTAAAAACAATACTTTAGAAAAATATTTTTCTTATTGAATGACAAACATCATAGACTCTTTAGCATAATCTTTGGCATATACATTGCTTGGTATTACTGTCATTTGATTTTTGTTGAAAATATAAGGTTTCTTTCTGTACTTTGCTGATTCTTTATACTGATTATCTTTCCTTTGGCAGAGAATGATAGATCCATTACCGTGGACACAGCACAGGCCAAAATGCTAAAGACTACTCCCAGATCAGAGCTTTGTAACTATGTGGAAATTTCTCCCATTGCTGACACTCTCCTTATACAGACATTCTTAATATTCAGCGATTTCTTAATATTCTTCCCTGAATATAATTTTATCTTTTTAAACCTTAATTCATGCAGTGATCTCATCTAATCACATGGCTTCAACTACCTATTTTCACTTTTCTGACTAAATCTAAATTTGGGGGGTACTTGTAACTGTCAAGAATGTGATAGTGTCATGGGAGTAGACTTTTAATATTTTCTTATTTTCCTGAAGGTAAGAAGCTGCATTTTACAATAAACTATGTCATAGAGACTGAGCAGCCATGTTAAAGAGCTGCCAACTAGATCATAGGCCATAATATCAGATACCTATTTGATCACTATTGTATTTTTTTAGAAATTAGTTTTTGAGAAGCTATTTTTAGACTAGAAATGAAAAGGAAATTGAATATTTTACTTAAAAATTCTGAATAAAGCATTCTATTTTCTTCTATTTCTAATATAACTTTTTCCAATAAAGATCAGATGATCATGTCAAAAGCTAAGATTTGTGATAGTGTCCCCCAAGAAATACAACAAACCAGTAGAACAATGCCAACTCATGTCAACACAATCTTATTTTGTTAATGGTCAATGCTTCGCATTTCAGCTCTACTTAATATTGGAATATTTTGTACCTGACTTAAACATTTGTTTTTGAGTTTAGAGAAAAGTTTAAAAAAAATGAAATCAGTATTAGAAACTAGTTTGGTACCCAACTTAAAGTTTTGTTTTTGAGTTTAGAGAAAAGAAAAAAAAAAGATGAGAAGATGAAATCAGTATTAGAAACTAGTTTAAGGACAAGGCTGAAATAAATTGAGAGAATAACATTGAAAAGGGAAATTCCTGACTTCACAGAATAGAAATCACCTTAAAGAACATCTGTTCTTACAGTAACTGCACTTTCTTGGCCCAATTCTGAGACGTTAAGTTCACAATTACTGTTAGCACTCTCAGAACAAACTGTCACTCTACATCCAGTCTAGGTTTGTGGAGGACATTGTAGACTGGAGGCCATTTGGGACTTATGTGGAGGCCATTTGGGACTTATGTGAATTTCAGCTTAAAGGAAAAATGTTCCAAAACATACTTTATTTTGTTCCTCTGTATTTTGAATAGCCTATTTCTTATTTAGGTGCCCAAGAGTTAAAGATAAATAGTTTAATTTAATTTTACTCACAGAATGAATGTGGTATTTAGTATGTAACAAGCTTAAAATATATAATTTATTGAAAAAACTAATCAGATAAATTATATTACTTCCCAGCTTTTCCTCATTTATTCTCACTAATAACAATTAAGTATATATTATTGTATTTTAATGACTCAACTTTAATATATAAAATATACTGTATATGATTTTATATTGTATTATTACTATGGTATATTAATAGTATATTATATTGTACTATAAAGTATACATTGTAATTATATTTTAAATGAATGCAATCATGACATATTTTATTATAATGTATATATTTAATATTACATAGTATATTACTTTGTTATGTAATTGTATAGTTATAATCACGAATGCATAATTTGTTTACACCACATTTAATATCATCACATTATTGCATTAAAAACCCTTATTGAGGCCGGACGTGGTGGCTCACGCCTGTAATACTAGCACTTTGGGAGGCCAAGGCAGGCGGCTCACAAGATCAGGAGTTTGAGAACAGCCGGGCCAACATGGTGAAACCCTGTCTCTACTAAAAACACAAATATTAGCCAGGCATGGTGGTGGGTGCCTGTAATCCCAGCTACTCAGGAGGCTGAGGCAGGAGAATCACTTGAACCCAGGAGGCGGAGGTTGCAGTGACCTGAGACCACACCATTGTACTCCAGCCTGAGCAACAGAGACTCTGTCTCAAAAAAAAAAACCTTATTGAGTACTTACTATGTGCTAGCCACCGAAATAAGTGCTATATAGCAACTAATGCAGTCCTCAAAACCAACCTCTAACATTTTGTTCCCATTTTAAAGACAAGGAAATTGAAACAGATTAATTTGTTTGCCTGGTAAGTGAAAGAAATGGAATTCAAACTAAGGTATGTCTAAATCTAAAATTGTTTCAGTGGACACATCTCTATGCTACCTACTCCTACTTTACATTTTTTAAAGAAATACCAAATATTGTACAAGTATGCATTTTAAGGGACTGTCTTTAGATTCCTAAATAAAAACAGTATGTCATCTAACAAAAGTTTCTTTTTCTAGGCATCAGCAAAATAATCATAATTACATTAAATTACACATACACAGTTTCCATGCATTTTAAGTTATGTTATATTTATAATAATAAAACTGCTATCAACAACTGAATTCATCAAGGAGAAAAACAGACGGATACTAACAGGGTTTGGTGCCATCTCTTTTCCTCAATTCCAAATTACAGTTAATATTAGAGTAGGAATAACAAGCTAATTAAAGTCAATAATCAGTTGATTTTTTTTTAATGCCCAGATGACAGCACTGATGGTCTGTCACCAAATGTCATTCTAACACTTAGAATTTCTGAAACTATTATGAAACGAGAGAGGATGTGAGAAATGTTTAACAGGTGCTGCCAACTCTAGTCAATCTCAATGCTCAGCTTTGCACTCAGGTGTTTGAACATTGAGTAATGAAAAGATACAGCAGCCTGGATCTATCCTTCTGCTGAAAATGGAGCCCATGGCTAAAGCCTGAAGGTGGTTTAATTAGCTCAGAGGGAGTGCATAGCATTGAACACCTTGTAAATGTGCCTTCTGCCAATCAGTATGTCACCAGTAATTTCAACTGGCTATAATTAGTGAGTAAATTATGTCTCAAATTGTGGCAATTTTTTTCAAGTGGATAGAAATTTTATTTCTCTTCTGTCACAACATTCTGAATTTGTTGCAAATTTTTCTCTTCTATATTCTTTTCTGCTCCTGTAATTAGATAAAGAGCCTCACGTTTTGACAGAAGCAGGGGAAACCATCCAAGAGGATTACTTTCTACATTTTTATTTATTTTTTCTAGATAGGGTTATGATGTCCTAAATCCTATTGTTCATCTGCAAAAGTAAGGGTTTGCCATGCACTTCCCCATCTGAATGGAGGCATTATATTTTAAAATTATTTCCCACATATTTTTTTCTAAAACCTCAAAATACTTCTAGCCAAATATTTGATTGAATGCCAAGAAACCATGAACACAAATATCTAATTCATGTAATTAACTCACAGGCAGTATTCTTTCAAGAAATGACATGCAAGTTTTGTGTAAAAAGGATTAAGTAATTTAAACACAAAATCCCTAATAGAAGTAGTTAAGGTTTTCCAACTTTTAAATGTGTTAGGTACTTAAAACCAATTTAAACTGAGATATAAAGATTAACATTCCCATTATGTAATTTAAAAAAGAAACAATAGGGATCATATCCACGAGGATGTTAAAGAAAGACCTTTTATTTTACTCATGAAAGGCACCTGTTCATTTCACTTTAACAAAGAAACTTCTGTTTTTCAACTAGTATCGATAATCTAGTAACATCTCAGAAAATAGCAAAAAGGAAAACAACATTATCAAAATACAAGACATATTGTCTTTCCATTCTGGAAAGACAAAGAACATCTTTCTATACTAGGCTGTTACCCCAAGAAAATGAATATATTACAACTCAAAATTTTGAAGAAGTAAACAAATCCTATACATTGATTAATGCACATTTAGAAAATGTATAAGAATATAACACTTTTTACTCACCTGAAAACATTAACTTGCTGTAACAAATGTTGAGTTCTGTTGCCTTACTTAATAAAACTATAATTCTGAGGCAGAGTCCAAAATCAGTGGGAGAAGGTAATAAAATATAAAATTAGCAATGAAATAGAGAGTCCCCCCATACATAGCAATTAGTAGAACAAAATAGAAAATGTTTTAGTGTTTTTTTTTTTTTTCCCCAGAATCCAAATTTTTACAATCGAAACTAGTTTGTGTTCCCTTGTTAAGATGTAGAAGCGCAGAGATGTGGTTCAAATAGAGCTGATCACACCAATGCTACCCAAAAAGATTATGACCCAGAGCCCTCCTCAATGGATTGAGAAGATTGTTTGCAACACCCTGACTGGACATGTAAATAGTCCTTAGGAATTTGCAAAAATAATGGCTGAAAATAAACAAAAACTTACAAATAAACAACTCTTCAGCTATAGTTTATAAAGCTAATTAGAAATGATAAAACAATAATTTTTGTTAGATTGACTTTCAGTAGTAAATATAAAGATTTTGCCATGATATTTTTCTACCTTATTTAAATATATACATTAATTTCATCAATAAATGAGATTATATCATCTCAACACACGTGGCATAGTGTTAATACAGCATTTTCATAGACTTTAATACAGCTACTCAGCAATTGTAAAGAATGGCAAACTTTGAAGGAAATTAAATAAATCACATGGTATCTCTAGCTCCTTCCATCTCTATGTAAAGAAGCCTACCAAGTTATAAAAAACACACATACATACTCGCACAAAATCTGGCAAATCACAAAATAAGTAATAAAAAAGTTTACACAGGCCTTAAGTAGGCAAGGCTAATAATAACTCAACAATAGAGTAAGCGTTCCAAAATGGAAAATAATCCAAACACTCTTTATATTTGATACTTTCATTTATCTTTCACTGTTTGATGTTATAAAATATGTGAAATTGCATAGTACATAGTGTCAGGCCTCTTGAGCCCAAGCTAAGCCATCATATACCCTGTGACCTGCACTTACACATCCAGATCCCCGGTTCCTGCCTTCACTGATGACATTCCACCACGAAAGAAGTGAAAATGGCCTGTTCCTGCCTTAACTGATGACATTGTCTTGTGAAATTCCTTCTCCTGGCTCATCCTGGCTCAAAAGCTCCCCCACTGAGTACCTCGTGACCCCCCCCCACTCCTGCCTGCCAGAGAACACACCCCCTTTTTCCTTTACCTACCCAAATCCTATAAAACGGCCCCACCCCTATCTCCCTTCACTGACTCTCTTTTCAGACTCAGCCCGCCTGCACCCAGGTGAAATAAACAGCCATGTTGTTCACACAAAGCCTGTTTGGTGGTCTCTTCACACGGACGCGCATGAAACATAGGATACTCTATAAAATGAGAAGTGATTTCTTATATGAAGAAGTCTGATGATTGGAGACCACATAAATCCCAAATGATGACTACATTTTACATTCCTGTTATACTGAAACAGCAAAGGCCTTAGGCTCTTTGATTCTATAGCAATCCTGTGGCAAGAAAGGCTAGTCTTCTAACAAACAAAAGGACAATACTTTTGTGTACCACTGGCATAGATGTCCATAAGGAGTGAAAATAAATTAAAATGACAAGTGCTTCAAACTTTGCTTATGTCAATTGAAAGTGAGGAGTGGACTAGGCAGAGTTCACAAAAAACTGAAAGCAAGATTTGGTAAATAAAACTTGACTTCAAAATTTATCAAAATGATTGTGTTTAAGAACTAAGAACACACTATATAATTTAAACAATACATATTCCATAGTAGTAATTAAGATAACATAGTGATTTCTACTTTTGTTGTTAATTTTATTTCAAAGCCACTAGATGGCTAACAAGCATAGATATATAGATTCGCATGTGTGTGTTCATGTTTTCTTACATACCACACATATTCTTATAATGTATTTTTAAAAATTTCTGCTTGAGCAAATTCATATGAACAAATGGCAAATATAAAGGTTATATGCAAAAATTGCTCACAAAATTTTAGTTTCTTTTAATCTGAAAAAATATGTTTAGAAATATAGGCTGCTATTTTTTTTGTTGCCAATAAGATTGTTTTGCAAAACTGATCATTTCCAAAAGTACTTGAGCTGAAATTAAAAGATGCCTAATCAGAGAGCTAAACACAAAGAAAGTAAACTAAAGATTTCAAATCTCAACTGTGATCTTAATTTTTAACTTAATTTTACATAAATTACATATGTCTTTCATAATTCAGTTTCTTCAGCTTTCAAAAGGTCATATTAATTTTACCAATTGCCACTTGTGAAGATAATTTTGTTACTTCAAGTCAAAGTGTTTCGATATAAATCTTGAGCGTTCACTGTAAAACTTAATGAATATTATCACTGAGTATAAAAGTTCTTATTTTACATAGAAGTTTTAGTCCATATTTTAATTAATAATATTAATAATAAAAATAATATGTCCATATACTTTTCCCAAAACTTTTAGGCCAAATTTCTTTGGGAATTAAGGATTTTTAATATTTGAAACAGTTAAATGGTGCATATGCCGTATCTCACGTCATATTTCCTCTGGACTCTGGGACTACAGTTCATGATGAAACTCATCAAAATGCCCACAGAGAAAAATATATTATTTACCCCATATCACTCACACCTATTATTTTCAAAGTACTTGGATTTCAGAATTGTGAACCCATAATATTTACTATTTTACACACTACTATTTGTTTTATGCCCATTTAATCTACAAAATGATCTTGAATGCTGGCATTACTAGCTCCTCTTTGTAAATGAGGAAATTGAATTTCAGACAGAGTAACCAACTTGTTGATTCAAGGCCACATTTGACTGACTCCAACCACGTGATCCTTCTACAAAGACCTGCTGCTGTGAAAAATGAATGTTAAGGGATAATGTAGATGTGAGAGACATTAATGTGCCTTTTTACACTGAAAGAAGAAAATCCCCACACCTCTCTCCACATTTATATATTATTAGGAGAAAAGTCGCCACGTTTGTATAAAATATTCTAACTCTGATAAAAGTACAAGATGTTTCTTGACCTTAGTCAACTTTGGATTTAGTCACTAAGAAATCTGGCTGATATTTTCTTTTTCTTTCTTTCTTCTTTTTTTTTTTTTTTTTTTTTTTTTTTCAGTGAGGCATCCACTCTCCTCTTCTGGAGAGTATGCGTTCTATTCTTGGAAAATGCAAAATTTGATTCAAAATCCCAATTTTCTTAATAAAACACTTGAAATCTCAGTAAGAAAATGCATAACAAGGAAAATTGTATGTTGTAACAGAAATTTGGAGCTAGACTCAGGTGAGTTTAATCTCAACCTACTAGCCACATATTGATAAATAATCACTAAACCTCAGTTTCTTAACATAAAAAATGGGGATAATAAGATCCAAAAAGGCTCTTGTGAAGATAAGATAGGTGCTTAGTAAATGGTCAGTATTCAGTAAAGGATAATCATGATAAGTCCCATCTTATAAAAGAGGAAGAAGCAACATTAAATTAGGTGACTTTTCCAAATGAAGTAGATCCCAAATCATCTGATATCCAATATAACTGAGCAAAAAAAAAAAGGACATATAGAGCAAGAAATAAAAGTATTAATACTTCCTTAAAGTTATTAATATATATTTTCACTTTGTTTTTCTTAAAAAAAAAAAAAAAAAGAAAAGCCAGCAATTATGTTAAGAAAGACTTCAGGGTCTCTCATGAGGTTGCAATCCAGCTGCCTGTCTTCTTGAGCTGCAGTTATCTCAAGGCTTACCTGGGGCTAAAGGATCAGCTTCCAAGCCCATTCTTGTGGTTGTTGGCAGGCCTCAGTTTCTTACCATCTGTTGAACCAAGAGGCTCAGCTCCTCTCCGACTGTTGGCTAAAGGCCTTCCTCAGTTTCTGGCCACATGGACATTTCCATAAGGGCAACTCACAACATAGAAACTGGCTTCCTCCCATGTAAGTGATCTGAGAAAGAACAAGAAATAGGAGAGAGAGAGTGCTCAGGCTGGGAGTGTGGTGGTGCTACCATGGCTCACTGTAGCCTGGAACTCCTGGGCTCAAGTAATCCTCCTGCCTCAGCCTCCCTAGCAGCTGGGACTACAAGCATGTGCCACCATGCCTGGCTACCACAATCTTTTATAACCTGAACATGAAAATGATATACCATCATTTCCACAATGAGCTGCTGGTTACCTGACCAACTCTGGTACAAGTGAAATGGGACTACAAAAGGACATGAATTCCAGCAGGCAGGAATTTCTGGGTTTATCTTGAAAGGTGGATACCTCACAAAAATGTTGAGAGTGCTCAACTAAAAAACATTCTTTTTATATTTGGGGATCAAATGTATATGCTGAGATAGTGTATAAAATGCTTACAAAAGTAACATTTATTCATTTATTGGTATTCGATAAGTAATTCACAATAATAATTTTTCAGTGACATCGTATTAAGTAAGAAATTCAGCTATTAAAAATTTTCCTAGTTTGCTCACTATTTTGCTATTATTAAATGAAAATAATGATAAAAATTGAATTATGGAGTTATTTCCATAATAGTTTTTACACAAGCCAAAATTAGAAATAATTTTATTCTTTTATCTTTTAACATTTTCAACCTATAGTTTTCAACCTACAGTTAACTAAGAGATTGGTATTAAGCCATTTCCATCTTGTGAGAGTATTTTCCATAATGTTACATATCAGATTGACACCCATTTACCTGTACACACAAAAGCTATAATCCATTGCAGAGCTTTCCTCTCACATAACTTGCAAGGCAAGTGATCAAGTAAATGAAGGACTAAGCGAGAGCACCAATATTAATTCATGTGCTATATGGATTGTTAAAGCTTCATTTTTTTTCTATTTTTCTACCAAAACAATCACATAGAATTTCAAATATTTTTTGATATGCTAGCAGATCATCTTGCACACTTCCCTCCACATTACTTTGGTGACTGCTAATGTAACGAACCCAAAATGTATCTCTGTATGTCCTTGACTTGTCAATTGGTAGAATTTTTTTTTTTCATTTCTTGCTGAAGAGCAGCAGTAAAATGTCAGTCATAACTTCTTTGAAATAATTCAATTCTTTCTGCCATTTATCTAACCTTTCAAAAACAAATGAATCTACCAAAAACAAACAAAAGTAACAGCAACAACAACACAAACCTCAGAATTCTATTGTCACTCCTCAAATAAACTCAGCTACAAAGACAATCAGGATCTCCAAGAAAGGCAGAAGAATATGTAGGTAGAAGAGGAAAAGGTGTAGCTAAGGCACAGTGAAATAACCTCGGTTAAGGTAGGCATCAGGGGAGGCCTGGAGTTAGCACTCTAAATATGTGGTTCTCAGTCTAGACTGCCCATGAGAATCACCTGCTGAGCTTTTAAAAATTCCACTGTGCGGAGTTGAACAAGGAGAACCCATGGACACAGGGAGGGGAATATCACACACCCTGGCCTTGCCGGGGATGGGGGGGCTAGGGGAAGGATAGCATTAGGAGAAATACCTAATGTAGGTGACAGGTTGATGGGTGCAGCAAACCACCATGGCACATGTATACCTATGTAACAAACCTGCACATTCTCCACATGTACCCCAGAACTTCAAGTATAATAAAGAAAATTCCACTGTGCATATCAAATTAATGAGAATGTCTGAGTCTGAGACCAGACATCAAGAGTTTATAAACCTTCCTGGGTGATTCCAATGTACAGCCAAATTCAAGAACCAGTGCTCTAAGTCATAGAGAAACAGACTTGACCCTGATAAATGATTTCTCTGTTGGATATAGTTCAGTGGCTGGCATTTCTAAGTAGCAAGATGCTCAGAGGGAGGATAATAGTACAGCAAATAGTCTATTTTTGAAAGGAACATCGGCCAGTGGTAGAAGTAAAATGATGAGGGAAATCCAACTTTGGGGATTAGGACTTTGTATGATATTAGGCCATGCTTACATTGCTATAAATATCTGAGACTGAGAAACTAATAAAGAGAAGAGGTTTAACTGGCTCACAGTTCTGCAGGCTGTACAAGTATGGCACCAACATCTGCTCGGCTTCTGATGAGGGTCTCAGGAAGCTTACAATCATGGTGGAAGACGAAGGAGGAGTAGGCATGTCACATGACAAAAGCAGGAGCAAGAGAGTGGATGAGGGAGGTGCCACACACTTTTAAACCACCAGATCGAAAAAGAACTCACTATCCTGAAGACAGCACCAGGCCACAACGGATCCACCCCCATCACCCAAACACTTCTCACCAGGCCCCATCTCCAGCATTGCTGATTACAATTCAACATGAAATTTGGATAGAAACAAACATCCAAGCTACATCAGATTTTGGGTGAACTTGGTAGGTTTTCAAGTCTGAACACACTAGATAATGGTCTGGACCTCAGTCTCAGAGAAGAAACCAAAATGCAAACCAAGACAGCAAGACAGAAAGTTCATTCATATTGCCTAGGCAGACATAATGCTTGCTGACATAATGGGAAAGCTCCAGTTCATTCAGCAAATGGTAACCTGGGACCACTACGGCAGCCACATACTATTAGTTGTTTAGAGCACCTGGACTGGTTTGAGACCCTACTCACTGCAGAGGTGGGAGTCCTCATTGCCTACTGTTTTGTGAGCATTAATATTGTTTGCAGTTTAACTTCAAGATGGAGTAGAGAGCCTGCAGTTGGATTTTGAGGAAGGCATCTCTTAGCTTAAAAACGCATTGTTAAAACTTTTCAACAGTACAAAAATCAGAAGTGTAGACAAATGTATTTTGTATATAATAAAAACCCAATACTTAATACCTCCAAAACACCAAGGATATAAATGCTAATTGATAACGATAGAACTGAGCTCTCCTTCCACATTTTATATGATAAATGTTATAGAAATTGCACAGAAAAGATCAACCAATATAATTCATGCCTGAATAAGAATACCACATATAGGTTTTGGGGATGTGTGGTTTCTAGAAAGGGAAAACTGTAGAAACAAACTACATAATGAGATATGCCAGCCATACCCTGGAAGTCTCAGCCTGGATGCAAAATGATTAGCTTAAGCACTTATTTTAATTGTTTGTGAACAAGTGAATTGTTCAAAGTGAATTGAATTTGCTTGTTCCAGGAAGAGAACACCACTAAAATTTGGTTGTATAGGAAATAAAGTTTCCATTTTGAGTATCACTGAGTATAAAATAATCCAAAATTGCTTATACTCAGTGATTTGTCTTCCTGTTGCTTTTTAAATTTTTATTTTTTGCTTTTTCTTTTTAGTCAAATAATAGGGAGAAGAAACTCATGTTTACTGAGTGATTACTCTCTTGGACACTAAACACAATACATTAGTTAACTGAGAACACCTCATGAAGAGGTATGCTTTTCTACTCCTACATTACAAATGAGGAAAATTAGGCTCTGCAATATTAAGAGACTTGCCAGAGGTCACACAATAACTGAAGAAAGCCAGTTAGTCTGACTCTAAACCCCATGTTTTTATTTCTTAAATTTCAACTTTTATTTTAGATACAGGGGGTACATGTGCAGAGTTGGTACATGGGAACATTGAGTAATACTGATCAACCCCATGATTTTAATCCATTTAGGCTTCTACCTTCCTGGTTATTTGAAGATTTGTTGGTGATTGTCGGAATGTATTTTGTATGAAGCAAACTCAGTGATTACTCAGCATTAAAAAAATAATTTAAAACCTATCATTTTTAATGTATTCCTTTAAATGTTGCAACAGAATTAGATTTCTTAAAAATAACAATAATTGTGCCAGATGCAGTGGCTCACGCCAGAAATCCTAGCACTTTGAGAGGCCAAAGCAGGCGGGTCACTTGAGGTCAGGAGTTGAAGACCAGCCTGGCCAACATGGCCAAACCCCCATTTCTTCTAAAAAAAAAAAAAAACACAAAATACAAAAATTAGCCAGGCATGGTGGTGCATGCCTTTAGTCCCAGCTACTTGGGAAGCGGAGGTGGGAGGATATCTTGAACCTGGGAGGCGGAGGTTGCAGTGAGCCAAGATTCCAGGACTGCACTTCAGCCTGGATGACAGAGTGAAACTCTGTCTCAATAAAAAATAAATAAATAAATAACAGTAGTTACTTATCATAATTTTATCCCCGTATTAAAATATAGAATGTAACTTATTGATGTTTTCCACTGCTTAGAAATTCTTAACTTATAAGTTTGGTGATTTTTCACGCTAAAAATATTAAAAAATAAGTAAATAAAATATTGAAAGTAATGGCAAAAACCACAATTACTTTTGCACCAACCTACTATTTATGAAAAGGTGCACTACTCTCATTTTTCAAGGGAATAAAAAATAACCCACAAATGATCTTTCTTCTAGTAAAATGTCTGGTATCATATAAATATAATAAACATTTTAAGTAGCTTGGCTGCTGTGATCTTTGATAAATCACTCTGAGATACAAAGAGACAAGTATGAAATGTAACAAAAATTCCTCTTACCACATGATTCTGAATTAACTTAATGTACATAAAGCTTATGGATATTGTTCTCAAGTGAAAGATAATTCTCCATCAAATTGTGGATAATCTACTTTCTTATGATGAATATAATTAACATGAAATTTAGGTACTATGTAGAACACAGAACCATCACTTATGAAAGACCTTAAGGACAGCAAGTAATAGAATAAAGTGGCGAATAACTTTATAGCTGGAAAGCTTTTACAAGGTCAGAATTGCTAACCAGATGAAATAATCTGAGATGTCAGAGATAAGATTTAAATTAACATTTATTAACAACTCTTAGTGTACTCTTATTTATAACTATACTATCAACATATTTTAAAATGTATTTTCATTTACTATAAATAATTGAATATTGAGATGAAGTTTGTTCATGAATAAACTTGGTTTATTTTAATAATACAGAGCAATTAAAAAACTATAACACATTAGTGACTTACTGCTGTTAGCACACTTTAGAAAACTAAGTGTAATTTTCTTAAAATATGAATCCACAACAAACCAATATTTAATTATAGAATACTGGATTCAGTTGACTTTCTGTATCCCCGGTTTCCACATCCATGTATTCAAGCAATGGCAGATCAAAAATATGTGGAAAAAAAAAAAAAAAAGGATGGTTGCATCTGTACTGGACATGCACAGACTTTTTTTTTTCTTGTCATTATTCCCTAAACAATACAGCATAACAACTATTTACACAACATTTACATTTTATTAGGTATCATAAATAATCTAAGGATGATTTAAAGTATCTGGGAGGATATGCATAGGTTTTTTGAAAATACTGCACCATTTTATGTAAGGAATTTGACCATCTATGGATTTTGGTACCTAGGCTGAGTTACGGAACTGATACCTCATGAATACAGAGGGACAACTGTATTTTACTTTTCGGAATCACCTAGTTTTTCATAGCATTGTCAAATTAAAAGAATTTTTGACATCAAGTAACAAAATTCTAAATGTAAATGCATTTTCTGTTACATAAAAGTGTTCCAGACTTAATTTCATAAATTTTATCCCTATTTTTGAACATTATTCTTAACTAACATTAATACCCAATGTTATTTAATTCTGATGTTTCTAAATGAATAAAATTCAGGAACAGAAGGGAGGGAATATTGCCATGATTTTTTTTCAAAATAGTTTTTTAGACATTTTTATAACCATATAACTATATGCATATTGTGTACCTAAATGAACTTTACATGAAAAGGACCAAAATCACCTTTTATAAATGCAAATACTGTCCTCAAACAACTACTTAAAAGTCCATGCTCAATAAATATAATGATAACCAGAAGTCAAAGACATATTTTCTGATTATTAAGTCATCGCAATAAATAAAATTACCTAGTGTTTTGTTGGATGACTCAACCAGAAGTAAGTATAATTATTCACTACACATTTTCACCTTTTAAAGTCTATTGTTACTAGTAAGAATATTAGAAGTGAGTTACAAGTCATTTGAAAATCAGTTTATAGGGAAAACATTTCAGATATTTGTTCATCTAAAGATGTTACAAAGAAAGGTAAATGTCCATACTTAAGGAAGTTGCTTCTTATAAAAGCACACATTTAAATTGGTCAAAGTTGAAATACTCTATAATGTTAAACCCTTTTCTGTATTTCCAATTAAATAATACATTTAACTTAATCACGGCTGGCCTTTCTTGAATGCTTACTTGTTTCAAGAACTATAGGAAATAAGCACCTTATATTCACTATCTCATTACCTAATGTAGATCTCTCAACAGCATGAGGTACAGAGACTTTTGTTATCTGTATTTTAGAGATGAGAAAATTGAAACAGAGAAATTATGAATCCTACCCAGTTAATTTAGATGAGGTAAAAAAGTGAAAGCCAGCATTGAAATTCTTTCCTTATTCCAAAGCCCACATCCTTTAATTCTATGCTAGGCTGCCACTTAGAACACAAATTGGTAAAATTATCTTCTAGTTCAGTTGAAAATTACATACTAAAGATTTCTACTTCATAGGATATAGAAATAGAATACTGCTGATAAGTAGTAAAAGAAAAGTGACTAAGGTCTGAGTAATAAGAGAAACAACATTGCTCTGTGAGGATAAACTTAAGCCTAGAATAAAGGCAGAGGAAGAATGACTACTACAATAACCTAGGTGAAAGCTGACGGAAGTCAAAAGCAGAGTTGTGATAATAGAAAAAGGGATGAGAGAAAAAGACACATGCACACGTATATTTATTGCAGCACTATTTACAATAGGAAAGAATCAACCCAAATGTCCATTAGTGATAGACTGGATAAACAAATTGCAGTACATATACATCATGGAATACTACTATGCAGCCATAAAAAGGAATGAGATCACATCCTTTGCAGGGACATGGATGAAGCTGGAAGCCATCATCCTCAGCAAACTAACATAGGAACAGAAAGCCAAATACCACATGTTCTCACTCATAAATGGGAGTTGAATATTGAGAAAACATGGACGCAGAGAGGGGAACAACACACACCAGGGCCTGTTGGAGGAGTAGGGGGTGAAGGGAGGGAACTTAGAGGACAGGTCAACAGGTATAAGAAACCACCATGGCACACGTATACCTACAGAACAAACCTGCACATTCTGCACATCTATCCTGTTTTTTTGTTTTTGTTTTTATTTTTTACAAAAAATAAAAAAAAAATTTAAAAATTCCAACCAATTTTGCAAGTCCAACATTGCAACAAGAGTTTATGTTGCAGTCTTGAAAACAAAGACAGTCTAGAGGCAGAATTCCTCCCTCCTAGTGGCCTCAGTCTTTTCTCTTAAAGCCTTCAACTGATTGGATGAGGCCCACAGACATTATGGAGTGTAATCTGCTTTACTCAGAAAGTCTACTGATTTAAATGTTAATCATGCCTTAAAAAATACTTTCATAACAACATCTAGACTGATATTTGACCGGACAACTGGACACCATAGCCTAACCAAGTTGACACATAAAATTGACCATCTCCTCATCCTAGGCCCACTCATTAGTTTACTGATGTTCATGTTGCTTCCGCTCTAAAGGAAAATGATTAGTTAATTATAAGTCCAGTTATGCTTCCCTTGGCTTTTTAACAAGCTAGCAAAAAGCAATAACTTAATAGAGTGCATGTTTTTTTTTTTGAGATGGAGTCTCGCTCTGTTGCCCAGGCTGGAGTGCAGTGGCACGATCTTGGCTAACTGCAAGCTCCGCTTCCTGGGTTCACGCCATTCTCCTGCCTCAGCCTCCCGAGTAGCTGGGACTACAGGCGCCCGCCACCACGCCCGGCTAATTTTTTGTATTTTTAGTAGAGACGGGATTTCACCGTGTTAGCCAGGATGGTCTCAATCTCCTGACCTCGTGATCCGCCCGCCTCAGCCTCCCAAAGTGTTGGGATTACAGGCGTGAGCCACCGCGCCCAGCTGAGTGCATTCTTTTTGACTGCGGCCAAGGCATCAAGTCAGACCTGTCAGAACAAATTCGTATTTAGTGTTTTCTATTTACATAATTGGTATGCAAATATTTACCTGATATTCAGTAGAATTCTACTTGTAAGCCAGCTACTTACATGAAAATCATGGATTCTATAAAATACTTTGTTCAAGATACCAAATTTTAGGAATGTATATGTTAACAGTGGTATTCTGGCATAAAGAAGCCACAAATATAACTTTTTTAGAAATATAATTATTTTTTCTCTGTAGCAATTTATTGCCCCCCGCTAAAAAATTTGTCTTTTATGTTAGTCAAGATCCCAAATCAATTTGCTTAACAAATTGAGATTAAAGAAGCTCAATATAAAATATAACTAAACTGAAATTATATAATCAGATTCTACTCTTATATAGAATTTTCTACAATCTTTAATAATATGATTTTGCAAATATTTAAAATAAGGAAAGCATAATTTCACTAAAAAATCTTTGAGAAAACAATTTGAAATATTAATATCCACACTTTCTCAGGAATATTTTTCTTTTTCATTATAAAAATTTACAAACATTTATATCAGTTTAAAAAAGGTTACAGTAAACACCTGCATTAGTCAAGATTCTCCAGAGGGACCAAAAAAATGGGATTCGGAAAGAGAGAGAGAGAGAGGGAATTTATAAGAAGAATTAGCTCATGTGATTATGGAGGCTGAGAAGTTCCCACTCTAGACCATCTGCAAGCTGGAGACCCAGATGCCAGTTGTGGCTCAGTTCAAGTCACAAGCCTCAGAACCTGGAAAGCCAATGGTATAACTCTCAGTCTGAGGTTAAAGACATGAGAGCACAGGGGGCCACTGGTCCAAGTCCCGGAGCCCAAAGGCCAGAGAGGCTGGAGTTCTGATGTCCATGGACAAAAGAAGTACGTCCAGCTCCAGAAGAGACAGACAAGAATTTTTGCCTTTTCTTTGCCTTCTTGATCTATCCAAGCCCCCAGCTGAATGAATGGCCACATTGAGAGCAATCTTCCCCACCCATGACTAACATGCTAATCTCCTCTGGAAACACCCTCACAGACACACCCAAAAATACTGCTTTATCAGCTCTCTATGTATTACTTAATCCAGTCAAGTTGACACATAAAATGAACTATCACGACAGCATAAACAGTTTAGCATGCATGTTGTTAACTAAAATTTTCAATGTTTGTTTATAGTTCTTCTTTAGGTAAAATTTATATACAATTAAATGCACAAATGTTAATTATATCCTTCTACAAGTTTTGACAAATGCATACAACTATGTAATATAAATAGCTTTTAAACATAGCCATTCATTGGATAAGTTCCCTCATGCCCCTTCCCACTCCATCTTTGCCTGCACTTCGTAGTACACAAACACTATTCTGATTTTCTACCACCATAGATAAATTTTGCCTGTTATAAAACTACCTCTAATTAGAATCATTCAGTTTGTGCTCTTTTGTATAAGGCTTCCATCACTCATGTTGTCCAAAAGACCACCAGGATGGCTAAATGGTAGAAAGGAGAGCTTTGTTGGTGATAATAGTTTGCAATCTGGGAAAAGAAAGTCTCCACCATGGGCTGAAGGTGTTTCCTCTTTGAAGAGGGAAAGAGCAGATTGGGTTTTATGCCTCACAGGGCCTGTATCAGACAATAAAGTCATACATATTCAGCATGCTTGGGGGAAAGCTATACATATTTATGACGGGGTCCTGCAAATGTGCAAACATATATGTAACATAAACATCCGTCGTTCACCTAGGGGTGGGGTTTTAGCATTACAGTGGGGTGGAATTTGGCTCTTTACATCGAAAGGTGAACTACAGGACACAAAGACAGTTTGTGCACAGTCTCTATAAGCTGACTGAACAGGCTTAAGGTCTGCAGTTGCTTATCAGAAAAGAGCGCAAGGCAGGTCCTCTGTCCAATCGGAGTTTTAGTAGTCTGGGTTCTAAGTCAGAGTTGGGGGTATCTGATAGCTTCTGTTGTTAGAGAGTTTAGCAAGAAAGCTTTTTTTTCTTGTAGTTATAGGAATTTAGGAAGTTATCATGCCAGCCGAGACCTGAACCCTCGACCTATAGGTAACTTGAGTTTTCTTAACCATAAGACCTGTCTTAGTTGGTAACGGGGCATCTATTTTGGTCTTTCATATCACATTCAGCATATCTTGGGGAAATTTGGACTGTATATCTATTTATGTGTGCGGTGTTTTCTGTTAGGTTTTTGGCATTATGTCAAATATTTTTTAATGGTTTACCACATATGAATTATAAAACACTATGAGTCACATAATAATTTTGAGCACCTGCAGTAGATGAATCAATGTATTTACTCTTTAAGTGTATTCAATGACTATATATTTGAGTGTTTATAGTTTAGTTAGAGGGACATCAGAAAGCCAGCTATATCAATTCCATTTGAAAAAGTTAGCATGGATTAGTATCAGAGGAAAAATATACACAATTCACCTAATTTAAGGGGTCAGAGTTGTCTACTTGTCTGTTCTAAAATAAAAATAATGAATTGTTTTATTTCTTAATATATGTACCTGAAACAACCAATGACAACATCATAAGAAAAAATAGACACATTATTTATTCATTATTTTAACAACTATTCAGGAGTCTTCTAAAATCATACTACACCAAAAAATAAATTTTATGAATTCTATTTATTTTAAATAAGTAGAAAGTGGATTACCAGAAAGCAATTGTGAAATCCTCTTTATTAGTTTGTTCTCACATTGCTAGAAAGAACTACCTGAGTCTGGGTAATTCAAGAAGAAAAGAGGTTTAATTGACTCACAGTACCACATGGCTGAGGAGACCTCAGAAAATGTACAATCGTGGCAGAAGATACAGTTGGGAAGCAAGGCACGACTTCATAAGGCAGCAGGAGAAAGAGAGAAAAGGAGGAAGTGTCACACACTTAACAAACAACCAGATCTCATGAGAACTCTATCACAAGAACAGCAAGGGGGCAGTCTGCCCCGTGACTCAATCACCTCCCACCAGGCCCCTCCCATGACACATGGGGATTACAATTCAACATGGGATTTGTGTGGGGACACAGAGCCAAACCAAATCATCCTCCTTACTTGCCCCTTTTATAAATTATCTGTAAATGTCCCTTTTTAAATTAGTTTTCTTTTCACACAATAAATATCTGACTGAAGTACATTTTAATCAGATCCAAGAAAAGATTACATTTTAAATGATGACTAAGAAATTATCCAGTTTATACCCAAGATTACCCAGGATTTTCAGAAAATATTACATTTAAAATCATGACTAAGAAATTACCCAATTTATATGATAGTCAATCTGTTATAAAGTGATAACAGTTGCTGGGATAAGAGCATATTACAGATTCATCAGGCTGGAAGAGATCAATACAATATTTATTCACACCCACATCAAAATAAGACCTAGGGTTTTGTTTCAAAGATATAGCAGTTTTATATTTTTAAAAATGATTTACATTTAAGACAATTATTTTTAAGTTTTTATATGAAAGAGTAAAGACAAAAATGGTTGAATGTATCATTTAAAGAAACCAAAATGTGTACAGGACTGCAAATCTCAGAGCTGACAAAACTGTCAAGCTGGAAGCATAATGTAACAGATTGCATATTATCTCTTAGGTAGAGCAAGTCTCTCTACGCATTAATAATAATTTCAGACATAGAGAATAAGATCATAAAAAACCATAAAATAGCTATCTGAAAGAAAATACAAATGTTGCTTCATATGTACATAACATTTACACATATCAAAACATTACATGAGAAAAACATACTAACAATGTTGGCTCAAAAATTAAAGAATCCTATAATAATTGCATGACTCTCTTCGTTGCTATACTTTAGAGTTGATCCATGCAATTCCTATGGCCATATACAAAATTTATAAAATATGCTCATTCATGTATTCATTTATGTATAAATAAATTTAGCATCAGCTCTATGTGAGGCACCACATTAGGCACTTGAAATGTACTGGGGAAAAATCCAGAACATACATTTATTAATAATAACTGATAAAATAAAACAAAACCAATAAATAAATTATGTAGCATGTTGTAGGTCCATTGTTTTCGACTGAGTTCCTGCTCTAGGACTCAACAGAACAGATGAAACCAAAATGGTGTCATTCTTACTAAATGCCACATGATCAAACTTTAAGGAAGCCGATAGATCCTAAAACAGACCTGTTTTTCCTAAAAACAGGATTCCAGCCTACCTGAATTAGTGCAATAAGGAAGACCCCTCTACTTTCACCTTTTAAAAAAATTAACTTGAACGAACCTGATGTTAACTGATCACTCTTTTTTACTCGTTTTTCTTGTTTCCACCCTACAAAACTGACTGTTCTGCCCCGCCCTTTGGTTGATCTTATTCAATTTTGTAGAATAGAGGCTGCTCCCATTTGTGATTCATGAATAAAAACACATTAAATCTATCACTAAACTTGTTGTAATTTTGTCTTTTGATAATGTTACAAGGTGATCAGGAATGTCAGGTGGGGTGCTGGGGGACTAATGCAATTTTAAAAGCATGCTCAGGATAGCCCTCATTGAGATGACACTGAAGCAACAAAAAGAAGTTCAGAGAGCAAGTCTAGATAATAACTAGAAGATAATTTAGGCAAAAGGAACAGCCACTGCAAAGGCCCTAAGGCAAAGAGGCCAATATAGCTAGAACAGCCTGAGTGAGGGGAAGAAAAGTTAAAAATATAGAAGAGATGTGAGGGAGCCAGCACAGGAATTGTATTGTAGCTTGTATTAAGACATTGGCTCTGAGTGTGAGTAAAATTGGGAGACAGGCTTTTGCACAAAAGCGTGACTATAATAGTTGGGGAAGGATTAAGTGGTGTTTGTAAGAGAAAGAAAAAGTCAGAAGTGACTCCAAGTTGTTTGTTTGTTTTTTATCTGAACATTGAACCATGGATTTCCAGGTTAACCCTACATCCCAGTTTCCTCCATCCCAATTTGTGCCTGTAATCTAATATAGTATGCCTTTTACTTTGAAAGCAACTAGTTTAAATGACAAATTATATGGTTGTCCTATGGTCACTGAAATGAGGGATACTGGTAGGAAACAGAATTTTGAGGGAAGATTTGCAGTTAAGTTTGAGAAATAATTAGCTTGATTTTGTCTACAGGAAATGCTAATGGAAGGTTGACTAGGCAGTTAGATATGAGAGTCTTAATATCTCATATCTCATACCATCTCATTTGGTACTCATTAGCACACGGATGACATTTAAAACTGTGAAACTACATCAGATCATCAAAAAATTGGAAGACAGATAGAAAGAAAAGAGGGTCAAAGACTGAGTCTAGTGATATGAGCATTAAAGAGTGAGTGAATCAGCAAAGAAATGACCATCAAAGAAACAAAAATTAAGTTGCAATGAGGTGGGAAGAAAACCAAGAAAATGTCACTGTCCAGGAAACAATGTGAAAAAGTTAGAATAAGAAGGAGACTGTGTGTTCTAGGTACAGATTGGTGTGACTAAAACCACCTTGAAACTTAGCTAGTTAAGACAACAATTATTTTATTAATATGTCATTATTTTATGTGTCAGAAATTCAGGTAGGAAGCACCAAGAGGATGTTTTTTTGCTCCTCATTACATTGACTGGGGTCCTTAGTGGTATTCAGCTAGTGGGTGGCTAATTTGGAGGGTCCATTGCAGTTTCCTTCACATTTCTGGTTTCTAGCAGGGATGTCTAGAAGGCTGAGCTCAACTAGGACTGTCTACCAAAGCACCTATAAATGACATCTCCAAAGGGACAGTCAGCATAATCAGTCTTATTACATACTGGCTTAGGGCTTTGACAATGAATGTGTACTTTAAGACAGGACATAAACACTGCCTGTGCCTTAAGATCTGGGTCCAGAAACTGGTAATGTGTCCTCTACCATACAGGAGAGGGTCTGTAGACCTTGACTCTCACTGAAAGGAGTGTAAAAGAATTTATGATTATTTTTAATCTATTGTAGAGTGACTAATGTGAGTTGGGGTTGACAGCCAAATAATATGAGGATTGAGAATTGACAGTTGGATTTCATAACGTGAAGATCATTGGTTTCCTTGTAAAAGAAGTTTCAATGGCATAATGATGACAAACCTTGATTGGAATGGATTTAAAATAGAATACGAAAGCAAAACACAATAGATGGGTTCTCTCTTCACCCGATGATAAGACTGAGCACATCTGAAAATATTACTGCAACTTAAATCATTGCGAATACATTTCTAATGCCAAAAAGTAAGCCTTTTAGAGTAATCAACATTTATCTTAAAACCCAAATAAAGCCTCTTTAAGTATTTATCGTCTTTCATTCCCTTTTAGCTACATCATTGATTTAGTAATGTTGGAACTGTCTTGTAATAATGGAATATCAACTTTTTTCATAAGTTAAGCAAATAATTTGTTTTTATATTTGTTCACATTCTTAGTAGAATCTAGCTAAAACCAGACATTAGAAAGTAAAAATGCAAAAGCACGAACCATCCTTTTCCTAGTCCAACTAAAACATTTTATGTTTTGTCTTAATTTGTATTAATTTTGCAATTTTAATTTTAGTTTTAATTTTAATTTTTGTAATTTTAAAATGTAGCTTTTGCTATTGAATTTACAGTTTTTAAATAAGTTCATTTTTTTTTCATGTAGGAATAGTTAGAAAATATCAGTAATGAGTAGGCCAGTTAGGGGCAAAAATGCATGACTTCAAAACACTGATGTTATGACACTTAGATTTTGAGTATTTTAATTTGTTTAAACATCACAGTTTGATCAAATGCTTTAATTAAAAACTTGTATCATACTGTTTAAATAATATTGTTGCAAACTGTGTACCATAAATGTTTAATACTAAGTATGAATATTTAATTAAATTCCCAATGACAATATTTCAAAGCTAATAGATTTGAATTGAAAAAAACAATATTTTCATTGCCTGGGTTATTTATTATAAATATTAAAATCTATGAAAGAAATTTGGGTATAATATATAGTCCAAAGAACACATGCTAACTAAAAAAGGTGTTTCTCAAAGCCAAAGAAATATATCCCATACATTTCAGGTGATGTAATTAATTTAGATGATGGAGAATGGAGAGCTCACCTTTAATTGCAGGCACTCATTTTCCCTAATTAGAATTTTCTCTAGCTCTTTGCTTTTGTTACTTTCACTTAAATAATTTAAGTCTTAAAATTGTCACAACATGTATTGGTTAGATTATGTTATCAACTTGGTCTTAAATAAAGTTGGGCAATTCATTTATTGCTAAGTAAGTGGTGAAATATCACAGGGGAGTTTATAGAAAGTCATATAAAAGATTGGAAAGAATCATAAATATTTATTTCAAATTGAAAGATTTTCAGGGAAGAAATGTGTATCTAAAAAAGCACTTCTGAGAGCTGTATACATTTGATAAATAAGCACTAATAATTTACAATAATTGCCATTTTCACTCACCTATACCAGAGAATTAAAGACTACAACACATAATATACATTTTTGAAAGATGTATGAATTAATATTAATATTTATTTACAGTACTTATGTTGGCAAAAATTTTGAAACAAACCAAGGTTATTCATGTTTTCTTTAATTGTTCATCTTATCATCTTCACTGACAACTCATGAACTCTTTTCCTACTCCTATCATTACCCCAAAGCACCTCTGGCTTCTGTTCTCCTTTCAGCTCATCTGCTCTGAATATTCATCTGGATCTGTTGTACCTCTTTCTATGTAAAATGTCCTATAGTTTTAATTTTTTTTTTCTTTTTTTTTTTGAGTCAGAGTCTCGCTCTGTTGCCCAGGCCAGAGTGCTGTAGTGCGATCTTGGCTCATTGCAACCTCCACCTCCCGGGTTCACGTGATTCTCAAGTCTCAGCCTCCTGAATAGCAGGGATTACAAGCTTGAGCTGTCACACCCGGCTAATTTTTGTATTTTTTAGTAAAGACAGGGTTTTGCGATATTGGCCAGGCTGGTGTTGAACTCCTGGCCTCAAGTGATCCACCTGCCTAGGCCTCTCAAGCCTGTTCAGTTTTTAACATGTCTTTGCTCATAGCCGATCAGACTGAAAAAGGATTGGTAATTTTATTTACATCAAAGTGTTAGCAATTTGGCAATTATTTATTGCTTAACAGCTAATATCGGTGTTAACCACCATAAGTTCTACCACTGAGATGACCATGCTATACAGCATGAGAAGCAGATATTTATTTCTTTGGTTGTTTGTATACAAAGTATTAGTGTCCAAGGAACAGAGAGATGTTCACGAAAGAGGAATTGTTTTCAGGGAAAGGAATCTCTTTATAAAACTAAGCTTTCATATGTTTCTAAAGTTATCATCATTTGCAAATCACCTTAATGAATTTTGCCATATCAGCAAACTGCATGTACTATTATTTAGTTTTTAAATTTTAAGCCAACTGACTGTTTAACTATAATCCATATAGAAAATAAAATGTATATCATAGTTGTATACATAAACCAGAGTCATTTGCAATAAGTAATAGATAAAAATTAGTATCCATTAATACTATGCAGCCATAAAAAATGATGAGCTCATGTCCTTTGTAGGGACATGGATGAAACTGGAAACCATCATTCTCAGCAAACTATCACAAGGACAAAAAATCAAACACTGCATGTTCTCACTCATAGGTGGGAATCGAACAATGAGAACACTTGGACACAGGAAGGGGAACATCACACACTGGGGACTGTTGTGGGGTGGGGGGAGGGGGGAGGGATAGCATTAGGAGATATACCTAATGCTAAATGACGAGTTAATGGGTGCAGCACACCAACATGGCACATGTATACATATGTAACAAACGTGCACGTTGTGCACATGTACCCTAAAACTTCAAGTATAATAATAATAAAATTTAAAAAAAATTAGCATCCATTAAAATAAGGTCATAAATATTAAAATTAAAATATTTATCCATGCTCTATCTAAAACATCACAAACACTGAAAAAAAGAACAATTTACATTCTATTATATAAATATAAACAATCTTATAGCAGTCCAAAATAGCAAATAAAAAGATCCATTGACATAAATGCTAAAATTTTTTAATCTTTCTGTGAATGTAAAGAAAATTATAGAAAATTAAAAACTGACAAGAAAAAAGAGAATGGAAAAGAAGATAATGACAAATACCAAAAAAAGGAATTAGAAGCTATGTAATCCCAGCAATTTGGGAGGCTACGGCGGGTGGATCCCTTGAGCACAGAAGTTTATGACCAGCCCGGAAACATGGTAAAACCCTGTCTCTACAAAAAATGCAAAAATTAGCTGAGCGTGGTGGCACACACCTGATTTAAAAATATTAATAAAAACACATGTGGGTAAACTTGAGGAAAATTCCCAGAAATTAAAACAAAAGGACTGGGTAAAAATAGAAAAAAAAGGTAAGGCAAATAAAAACAATTAGAGGATTATTCCAGTAGGGTCCATATTCAAATTATATGAGTTATAACAAGAGAAATTAGGGAATATAGAAAGTGAAAATTGTCAAGGAAATAATTCAAGAAAATACCCTGAGAACATGAGATATTAGATTTTAATGTCCATAGTGCTCTCAAAAAATATAGCAATATAAAAACACACAAAAGCCTATCAACACACTTCAGAACATAGGGATTCTATAAATTTCAAGAAAGAAGAGATTAGGGTGCTTTACACTTCTAAAAAGAATTCTAAAAATAAAATACACTTCTAAAAATAAGATAATGAACTAGTGGTTTCAAAATTCGGAGGACGTCAAAAGCAATTGCAACAAAAAATTGACAAATGGTATCTAATTAAACTAAAGAGCTTCTGCAAAGCAAAAGAAACTATCATCAGAGTGAACAGACAACCTACAAAATGGGAGAAAATTTTTGCAATCTCTCTATCTGACAAATGTCGAATATCCAGAATCTACAAAGAACTTAAACAAATTTACAAGAAAAAAACCAAGCAACCTCAGTAAAAAGTGGGCAAAGGACATGAACAGGTAATTCTCAAAAGAATACATTCTACAACCATTGTAGAAGACAGTGTGGTGATTTCTCAAAGGTCTAGAACCAGAAATGCCATTTAACCCAGCAATCCCATTATTGGGTACATACCCAAAGGAATATAAATCCTTCAATTATAATGATACATGCCTGTGTATGTTCATTGCAGCACTATTTACAATAGCAAAGACATGGAATCAGCCCCAAATGCCCATCAATGCTAGACTGGACAAAGAAAATGTGGTATATATACACCATGGAATACTATGCAGCCATAAAAAAGAACAAGTTCATGTCGTTTTCAGGGACATGGATGAAGCTGGAAACCATTATCCTCAGCAAGCTAATGCAGGAACAGAAAGCCAAACACTGCATATTCTCACTCATAAATGGGAGCTGAACAATGAGAACACACGGACACAGGGAAGGAATGACACACACTGGGACCTGTCAGGGAGTGGGGTTGAGAGGAGTGAGAGCATCAGGATAAATAGCTAATGCAAGCTGGGCTTAATACTAAGGTGATGGGTTAATAAGTGCAGCAAATCACCATGGCACATGTTTACCTATGTAATAAACATGCACATCCTGCACATGTATCCCAGAACTTAAAATAAAATAAAATTTCTGAGAAAAAAATATTTCCAACCTAGAATTCTGTACCCACTTAAAATGTCAATCGAATATGAGGTTAGAATAACACAAGTCTCTGTGAATACTCTCTCAGGAAGCTTCTGGAAGTTGAATTTTAGCAAGACAAAATAATTAACCTATGAAAAAGAAGGTATGGAATATAGGAAACCGGAGATTCCACACAAGAAGGAAGTGAAGTGAAAATGAAAGAAAATCGTATATGACAGCTATGCCCCCAGATTTCAACAGCAATGAACATAAAGCAGAACCACATAACTTAAGAAAAAGGTGCAGTATGGTGGTTATCAGCAACATACCTGCTCCCATTGAACTGATTTTTTGCCTGAGGACAGAATTTATGGATAAGCGTAGCCTAGGTTTTTATCTATCCTTGGTTTGTCTTATGTGATAAAGTTATTGCTGTACCATGCATGTCTGCTGTCTGGATCAGTTGGGTCATTCATTTCACTGCAAATGTGTTTTAATTTGACATATTCCTGCAATGTACAGAAGGGCCATAATAAGAATACTCATAATGACAGAATAACTAGAGCCACCCACTCTTTCTTTCTGTAGTTCTGTTGGATGTATTCCACTGGGTCCATACCACGGTGCTGCCCCATGTGTACCCCAGGCCTCACTCATGACCTCGTCCATTGACTTCCCTGAGGGGCTCTTAGATGATCTCAGGAAAACTGAAGCCAGTCTGTTACACAGATAGTCCATTAGCTTATCTTTTCCTGAGAACTTCATCTAATATTTATTAGAAAATAGTAACATTTCATTATATAGATTTGTGTTTACAACTTTATTTTTCAGCCTTTACATACACACACACACACACACACACACACATATCCACATATCTGTGTGATGTATTTCATAATAATAATAAAAAGTATCTAACATTTATTCAGCTTAAACATTATTAGCTTTATATATTTCTAAGTTCATAGAAAAAGAAATCTACATTATTGGTAAGCACTATTATTTGTTTAAAAGTGTTTATCTTGACCACCTAAAGATGCCATCAGATCAATTAATGCCAATTTGAATATTTAAATGTCAAATGTCAAATGTCATACATGACTAAAATATATTTCATATTTTAGTCACGTATTCACTTTGAATTTAACTTTCTTCAAATTAATAACTAATTCATTCAACATTTATTAAGTATCTGTTATGTGCAAAGGGGTAGATGCTATGAATACAAAAGGGAATAGAACAAAATCCTATAACTTCCTGCCTTTCAGGAAATTATAATTTAGGAGGAAAGAGAAGTATTTAAATAAATGTGGCAAATTCTAAAAAATGACATTTGAAGAAAGTGAAAAACATGAGTAGAAGCTTTAAGTGGATAAGGAAAGAAAAAATTGTATATGCTGAACCAAAAGAATAGGCAAAGAACAAGAAATTGGGCAATATAAATATTTTTTTATATATATTTACATTAAATTACATATACAATAATATTTTTACATGTACATACATAAAATAGAAATTTATTTTCTGTACTTATAAGGACACACAGAGAACATATAATAGGCACAACAACATTTAAAAGGAAAAACCAAGTTGAAAAACAGTACCAAAAAGACACATGCACTCATATGTCCATCACAGCACTATTCACAATACCAAAAACATGGAGTCATCCTAGGTGCCCATCAGTGGTGGACTGGATTTAAAAAATGGTACATATGCACCATGGAATACTACACACCCACAGAAGAGAATGAATTGATGTCCTTTGTAGCAACATGGATGCAACCGGAGGCCATTAATGAATTAAGGCAGGAATAGAAAAAGCAAATACAACATGTCCTCACTTATAAGTGGGAGCTAAACATTGGGTACTCAAGCACATACAGATAGCAAAAATACACTGGGGATTGCTAGAGGGAGGAGGCAAAGAAGGGGGCAAGGATTGAAAAACTAACTATTGGGTACTATGCTCAGTACCTGGGTGATGAGATCATTTGTACCTCAAACCTCACCATCACGCAATATTGCCAGGTTAAAAAAAAAACAAAAAAACCTATACATGTACCCCCTGAATCTAAAATTAAAGTTGAAAAAAAGAAGATTTAGGTTGTCTGTCACAATACTTCAGATGACTACAATTATAAAGTTGGTTGCACACAATTAACAACCATAGTGATATGTGTTTATACATTTTGCTTTTGGATCTTTTTATGAGTACTTTCATCTGCTCATAAATGTTATACTCACATGTCTGTCATTATTAGAGTGTATGTTTATGCTTACAAAATAAGTATGTTATTATTGCCTATTTTATTGTGAAAAGTGACCTGTGAAGTGTTCTGTCATGTTTTTCTATGCTGCTCAAATAAATCTTCTAAAAATGTAAATAAAAGTCTTTTAAAGATTGAAATTTGACTGTATTAAATAAATGAAAGGATTCAAACATGAACAAACATGTGCGTCACTAACTGAGAGTACAAGCATAATTCAGAGAAAAAGAAAAACCAAGTGTACAGAGTCAGTTGGAGACATCTTCATATAAAATAATAATCCCTTGTTTTGGTATAGGGCTTGACACATACACAGAAACACCATATGCATTATTTTAAGAGTTCATCATAGCAACCTCATCCACTAAGTTAGGGAAGGGTTACCCCTGTTTTACAGAAAGAAAATATATTCCCTGAAATCAACAAACTTCTCACAAATTCTGCATTACTTTTTCGGACAACAGTTCAAATAGAATAGTAATTTTAAAAATTCCATAAAATCAAAAAGAAAAGCACAGCAGATTATTCATTCCACCCAATATTTCTCTCCAAAAAAGCTAAGAATTATTTTATTTGCTCAAAATCACACAAAAATAGAGCTTTGACTTCAATTCACATGAATGATTTTATTTGACTTTCTTTGGTGAAGTCTTAAGAGTTTCAAGGTAAACATAATGTGGTATATTTTAATTTAGGTAAAATGCTACTTCAATATTTTTGCTGTTTTTGCATACTTTCGTCCTTTGCTTTTATAAAACTGAAAATATATTTATAAATAATATAGTAATGTTCAATAAGACATGCTTTTCTGAGTGAAAGTATGTGTCTTGTATAATACTATATCTTGCTATATATCTAAGAAACTTGAGTAGCAAAAAGAGATGCTTAACATTTCAGTGTATAAGCTGGTCTGTGGGAGACTTTTGTAAGCATTGCGTGACATATAGAGGGAGGTCCTATCTTTTGGGCATTATTAATGACGTAATGATGTAATCTAAATAAACTGTTTAGTTGTATTAACTTTTAGCTCTCCAGGTTTTTTTTCTCCCCAACTCTGGGAAAAATGAAGCAAGTGTTTAAACCTATACCTTGATATCTGAACACAGCTAGCTAAATCCAATAAAAATTTCAAAATTTAGCTTTATTTAAAAATGTTTTGGGGATCCTTTGGGGATATAATTTTTAAATTTTATTCCTTTCCCAAGAGGTCTCAATCAAATTTTAGTTATTTTTCAAAAGATCTTAAGTTCCTTCCTTCCTTCCTTTCTTCCTTCTTTCCTTCCAACAGAAAAATTAGCAGGGTGAAAGAACTCTATTCATAACACTAATTATTTGTGAGGCTAAAGTCTTAGGCTGAAATAATAAATCAATATGCAATATCCAACATATTCAATACAGCTAATTTTAGCAGAATTTATTGTTACCAGTAAATAAATAAACAGAGTAGCTGAAGATAGGTAGACAGATTATGGATGAACTGAAGAGCTATATATTATACTAGCAGAGTAAGAAATGGTACCTTTCCATTTGTAGAATCAATGCAATTTTAATTACTGGCCCAGGAACAAAGGTATTGTGATCATAACATTGCTCCTTATTTAGTACATGTAGTTGGTTAATTTTCTGTTTTTGTAAATATATTGGTAAATTTTCACTTGAATTTTCGGTTTTACTAATCTTTGCCCCTCATGCTGGCACTATAACTCATGCTTTCTCTGTTCTATGTTTATTGTTTATTTGTCATTATTTATTTCCATTCTATTGGTTTTAACTTCGTCACAAAAAATTGGAAAGATTAATGGATGTTTATTATATTAGTTTGTTAGATCTGCTATTACGAAGTATTGCAAACTGAGCTGCTTAAACACCAGAAATGTGTTGTCTTGCAGTTCTGATGGCTGGAAGTCCAAGATCAAGGTGTCACCCCTGTTTTTTTTTTCATAGAGCTGTGAGGAAGAACAAATACCATACCTCTCGCCCAGTTTCTGGGGACTCGCTAGCAATTTTTGGTGTTCCTTGGTTTGTAGAAACATCACCCCAATCTCTGCCTTCATCTTTACACAGAATTCTCCCTGTGTATGTCTTTCTCCTCACATGGCATTCTTTTATCAGGACACCAGTCATACTGAATTAGAGGCCCACTCTACTCTAATGTGACCTCATCTTAACTTAATTACATCTGCAATGACCTCATTTCCAAATAAGGTCACATTCTATTAATACTTGTGGTTCGCACTTCACCGTATGAATTTTTGCAGACACAGTTCAACCCATAACACTTATTATCTTTGAAAACAAGAATAGAGAAATTAAATGAATGCACAAATTTAACTAAAACAAATTGCCATGCGCTTGTCTAACACCTTCACTGTAAATCTTGTAAATGAGATAAATGTCTATATTACTAGGACACAACAATTAAAACCAAAACTACATCGTGGCTGGTAGACTATTACTTGGCTAAAAAAAAAAAAAGTTTTATTTTTTCATCTAATTTTCTCATTCACAGAAATGACAATGTCTCTCTTTTCATTTGTACTTCATTTAGAATAGTTCATTTAGAATCATATTCAACAGTTATAAATTTGAACAGAAATATTCTATCCATCAATACCTTCAAATTCCACATTCTTAATGTGAATTATCTATTTTTTCCTAGTCTGGACTCTCGTTCTATATAGATTTACATAAATAATTAAGTTATAAAGTTAATTTTTAAAGTATATCTATTCTGTAAAATGCTCTTTTTCCTGTACAGCAATGTTTATATAAGACAGACATTATTGTATTTAAAGCGCAGACTATTTTAGTGGTTATTTCGTGTTTCTTTTAACCACCTTGAGATTTTCTACATGTCTTCTTCTATATCTCATCTTGCTTTCTATACAGGTATCTGCTTACCCCCTCTTCTAGTTGTATCTGAAGCTCTGCTTATAAGAGCTTCCTTTTGTCAGTTACTCAATTTGGAAAGTGGGTTTTAACCTTATTATTACATTATCCCAAATTAAGTTCATATGAAAATATACCTTCTATGTGGATTTTAAAAGCAAATGGGAAATGATGAGAAATAATACAGGAACAACAATCATACCAAAGAATCTAATTTGCACTCTTTGGGAGATCAATTATATTTTTTTCCAAAATTACATAAACATAAATCACATCACAAATTTATTAGTTTTAAATGTTTCCTTTTAGTATTAAGAAAATTACAGCTGACAAAATAGAGTCCTAAAGAACACTGATTTGCATCTGTTACTCCCTCCAGAGATCAGTTCTTGCCATTATAAGTCAATCAAAAATCAAGTTAAGCCTCTTGACATAATTGGAAGTTTCAAAGTGATCTGAAGAGCACAATTTTCTTTTACATATGTCAAAGCTAGATGAGAAAAATACCATGGGAACAGAAAGGTCAAGGGCTAATCCACTCCAAAGTCATTAAAGATCATATTTAAATTGCTCTGGAAACTTCAAGGTTCTTAAAGCCATCATCAAATTCCCCAACAGAACGAGATGCCTGTAACATGACAGCTGCTCTCTATAGGAAAGGAAGAATGTTTCTTTTTCTGTTAGGCTGAAATGGAGCTTTGATTTTCAAAGTTTATTTTGCCATACACATACTTGTTTTAAACAAATGTATTTAAATTTTTAAGCAGAAATATATTATGTCATAATCGAAAGATGTTTTAGCTTAAATGAACCTATTTTGTATTGCATTTTATAACACTGTATTTGTAAAATTAAGTGCAGCAGTCTTCACAATACCACCATATAAAATACTGAAGGAAAGGAGTTTCCCATTTATCCTGAGCATATCACCCTCATTGAAGACCTCAAGCAACAAAGTAAGTACCTAAGGAATCAAGGCTATAATATGATCATACTTTTAATAAATCTTCCAGATGAGATAATTACTTTTTTCTTACATTTTGGCAGTGGAAACGTATTTTATTATAGGGTACTAAATCATAAGCATTAAATTATGCTATCGGGTTACTATGATCAAAAGAATTGGACAGACACATGTACATACATATCCACAACACCACAAATGAATTTGTGGGACAGAATAGAGTGTATAAACAATTCCAAATATGTATATATGTATGCATTTACTGTGTAATAAAAGCTGCATTTAAATTTAGTGGGATAATAGGTTTCATAATAAACAGGTTGAGCAGAAAAGTAAAAATGAATAATAAATCTATGAAATAATATCCGATCCAGGGAAATAAAAATGCCAACATGACCTGATACCACTTTTTATTAATTAGATGGACAAATTTAAAACAATTGATGATAGCAAGTGTTTATTAGGTGTAAGAAACTGATGATCTTAAAAATATACTGAGATAAGTGTATGTATATAAAGTTTGTGGAAAGATTTTTCTAAAAATATTTGGCAGTTTCAATAAACTGTCAAGTACACATGCGCTTTGAAAAAGCAGTCCTACTTCTAAGACTCTGACCTTCAGAAATAAATATAACAGTAAATTAGACTATATTATAATAGTACTTACTGCAGCATTATTTGGAGTGACAAAAACTGGAAACAGTAATGACCACTATTAGGGAAATTGAATAAATTACACAATATCCATGTTATGTAGCTATTACATTTATAAAACTAGTTAGATCTATAAAAAATTTACCTGAAAAGCAAATGGTTACAATATGTTGTTTATAGGGGAAAACAGGCAAATTGCCCTTTAATGTCTTGTAATGTGATGCCATTTTATAAAAACAAAATTGGGGGACAATATATAATGGTATGTATAGCTATGGTTTAAGGCCAAATTTATGCTACTGAAGTTTTAGTTTAAGTCAAATCCAATATAAAGAGATCTAAACATCTGGATTGGCTTAACACTTTATATTGCTGTCATGCAGATATTTTCTTTAAGTATTTAATGTTTTAGACAGGAGGAAGGGTAGATTATTTACTTTGGATATACTGATTTTTAAAAAGAAAAATAAATTCAAGTGCTAAAATAGTTATAGTGCTTCCTAAACTTCAATTGTCCTGCTCATATCAAGAAAAATGTATAGTTGTCATCAATATTCATTAATCAGAAGCTAAGCAATAGATTAAAGAAGAAGGTGCATAGCTGGTCTATTCTCACCCTCCTCTTTTGTTCCTAAGACCTATGCCTACGTCAGGAAAAAACTATCCCTGGCCTTAGAGATCACTAGTCTTGGAAATAATTATAATAATTACATGACGACTACTAAGTACATATCACTGCATCATCTTTCTAATGGCTCTAGTAATAAAAGTCATACTATAAATTAGATGCACATTCCAGATACAAACTGATATCATGGTTCCTGTGTATGAAGTTACTGTATTGCCATTTTTAGGGTCACTGTATTGGATACATCTGTAACCAAACTCACAGTAACTAAAAGTGCTATTGTCTTAAACAAACAAATTAACAAATAAATAAATAAATGTTATGGACTGCATTGTGCCCTCCCAACATTGATATGCTAAACCACTAAGCCCCAGTGTCACTGTGTTTCGAGAAAGCCTCTAAGAGGGAAACTAAGGTTAAATGAGGTTATTAGTGTGGGTCCCTATTCCAATATGACTGGTGTCCTTGCAAAAAGAGACAGAGACACCAGGGATGCACGCATGCAGAGAGAAGACCACATGATGACATAGTGAGAAGGCGCCTCTCCGAGTCAAGGAGACAGGCCTCCAGAGACACCAAACCTGGCAACACTTTAATCTCAGACTTCCAGTCTTCAAAACTGTGAGAAAATAAATTGCTGTTGTTTAAGCCACTTAGTGTGTGGTATTTGGTTATGGCAGCCCTAGCTGACTAAGCCAACTAATACATTATAGATAGATAGACAGATGATAGATAGATAGATAGATAGATAGATAGATAGATAGATAGATAGGCACACACACATGTATAAACATTTTAAACATTTATGTATTTAATGGACATTCTAGCTCCAAATGTGTATTTGTAGCTGTAATGTATACATATATATATACTCAACATATTTGTATCTATTATACAAGCACACACTGAGAAATGTGTAAGGTTATATAACACAATATCACTGTACTTTGTAAAATAAAAGGTAAGCTATGACATTCAGATAGAAATTTCTACCTCAACTCATGACACCAAGGGGGGATGGTAAGATACATTGAACATGGAATTTGGAAATCCAAGTTGTACAAAAGACCAAAAATACACAATTATTTTATCTACCTTTACTTTCTTCATCCCCATCCTATTCCTCCACCCACATCTGGTGTGAGTGGAGAGAATGTTTGCTACAAATGATTGTAGATTTATGGTTCTAAAAAAATTGAAATGTGTACCAGGAGGCCAAGTCATTTAAGCAGCTGTTCTGGGATCATGTTCTATTACTAAGGATTAGTCCATAATGATACAAAACCATTTAACATGTGCCTGGACCCCCAAGGAAAGTGGAAACCTGCTTAAGTGTTCATGAATCAGCCACACTAATAAGGAATTAAATTGCTTGGAAAAATCTACTGGGAAATCCTTACTGGACATAGGTATGAAGAAAAAAAAAATGACATTGTAGCACAGGATTTGAGAAAGGTGACAGATCATTTTTCCCAAAAGAAATATCTCTAGAAAGCAGTAAGTTTACCTTGAGCAAGATAATACAATTATAGTAAAAAGAACACCAGACTGAAAAATTCAGCATATAGATATTTATATCTCTACGTTCTACTGCTCACTGGAACCAATATCACCTTCAAAGGGGCAAAATTGGTTCTTGGGTAGAGTGAGAAATCTTAGATCCTACAATGGTCTGCGGCCTTCCAAAAGATTCCAGTATACAAACAATTGTACCTTATATCAGTGGTGTTACAATTTCATGGAGTGGGGGTAATTAGGAAAAAACTGTGCACAAAGGTTTCACAGGGAGACAATGTTTTTTAGAAAGCTGAAAAACACTGCTGTAGGTAAATTATAACATGGATACCGCATACACAGATATAGAGCAAAGATACGTGGGCATATCTGCTCCTAGCTTCCTAATACAGTAAAGGAAACGACTAAAACTCCCCTCTTACAGCCCACCAAATTTGCAACCTAGGGATCTCCAAAGCACTCCCCAAACTTTATCTGAATTTATAGGAGGTTTACATTCTCTTGGCCTCCTCTGCCTCTTTCTTCCATCTTATTATTTATTTATTTATTTTTTCCAAGACAGAGTCTTGCTCTGTCACCCAGGCTGGAGTGCGGTGGTGCAATCTCCGCTCACTGCAAACTCCGCCTCCTGGGTTAAAGCAATTCTGCCTCAGCCTCCCGAGTAGCTGGGACTACAGGCACCCGCCACCACATCTGGCTAATTTTTTTTATTTTTTAATAGAGATGGGGTTTCATCATGTTGGCCAGACTAGTCTCGAACTCCTGACCTTGTGATCCATCCACCTTGGCATTCCAAAGTGCTGGGATTACAGGTGTGAGCCACCTCACCTGGCCGCTTCCATCTTTCTGTTAGTCTCTACTCACTCCTCTGATGATAAAAATGTGGAAGAGAGTAGCTTCATAAAATTCCACAAAATAATATTAACATTTAAAAAAAAATGCACAAAACATTTATGAGTCTGGTTGACATTACTCCAAAGGTGAGCATAAGAGACAGGGTCACAGAATTCAGTGGATAGCAAGCCACAGGCAAATCATACACTTATGTTCTTCGAAACCCTTGTTGGCCAACCCACAGGTGGGAGTGTTCTCTTGGCCCTTCCATCACACAGCACTTGACCTGTATCCTCTTTCCTTTTCTTTCCTCTTATCTCTCACACTTGTTGAACCCTACCCCCAACCCTGTCCCCAGACACACACAAAATTTCTCTTTTCACACAAAAACACTCAAACCTCTTTTCTGGAACCTTAGAAACTACTGACTTCTTGGATACTATAACTCATTACTTGAAGATTTTTATTCCCGGCGTACCATCACTCAGGCCAAAATGACTCCTGTTACATTTCTGGATGATTTTAATACCCAGGCAGGTTAAGCTTTTAGTCCTTTGGCTTTGGAGTTCCTTCAACTCTTCTCCTCCAATGACCTCTTCCTCCATTCTACCTTAGCCACTTATTTCCATGATAGTGACTTAGGCCTTTTATTGCCAGTAGATGTACTTTCCACAGTTTTAATAATAAACATTCCCCCAGCGCTCATCACTACCTCTTTCCGGTTCTCTTCTGATTTCCTGACTGCAAAAGTACTGATGTCTTCAACTCATTGATACTACTACTATTTTAATTTTCCTCAGCCCCCTTCATGGCTTCTCTGGCCATTTAATCCAATTTGAATCCTGTGGCAATCACTGTAATCCTTTCCTTGTGAAAATCTGTAACTCTCTCACTTCTTATATTCTACCATCCTTGTTTGGAAAAAGTCGCATGCCTGGTTAAATATAACCCTTTTCTTTCTCCATGGCTATTCCTGCACAGCTGAGCACGGCTTTAGAAAAACACACAATCGGCCGGGCTTGGTGGCTCACACCTGTAATCCCAGCACTTTGGAATGCCAAGATGGATGGATCACGAGGTCAGGAGATCAAGACCATCCTGGCTAACGGGGTGAAACCCCGTCTCTACTAAAAAATACAAAAAATTAGCCGGTCGTGGTGGCGGGCGCCTGTAGTCCCAGCTACTTGGGAGGCTGAGGCAGGAAAATGGCGTGAATTCGGGAGGCGGAGCTTGCAGTGAGCCGAGATCGTGCCACTGCACTCCAGCCTGGGCGACAGAGAGAGACTCCGTCTCAAAAAGAAAAACACACAATCAAGAATCAAGAATTATAGTAAATAAATTTACACAATGTTGAATTATCTCACTTTAAATATGTGACTACCAACCTAGAGAGGGCACTTTTCCTGCCTGGTAATTCTACTACATTTTTTTAGTTCATTAAATCATCCACTTATGTTACAAATTCTTGTGCCACCTCCCCATTCCCATTCTTGGATGAAGATCTTGCTTCCCTCACTGAGAAAGTTGAACCAGAGGAAGGGAAGGTCTATAGGCTCTTAATCCCTAATCCACCCCTTTTCTGTTGGCATCCATCTAACTCTGTCTTTCTACCATCTCCATAGACCAACCTCTATCTAGACCATCTCCATAGACCATCTCCATAGACCAACCTCCATAGACCAATCTCTATCTAAGGACAAATCCCATTTATGTCTATGATGGAACTTTTGCTTTTCCATCTTCAGGGACACGGGTCTAGAATTCTTTTCTCTACTGCCTATGTTTTCTGTATCTCCCTTTCTACTGGATCTACTAGGTCATCATTATAAAATCTTCAATATACAAATATGCTATTATTTCTCCCATCTTTAAAAACAATCAAAACTTTCTAACTCCATTTTCCCTGCCAGCTAGACTACTTTTATATCCCCCTTTTATAACAAATTCTTCTATTAATACATTTACTCTTTCTAATACCACTTATTAGGTTCTCTCTAACCCAGGTCCATTAGTCTATAAACCCCACAACCTCACCAAAAGTGTGTCTGTCAAAGTCAGTTATGATTCTACATTACTAAATCCAATGGTCCATCTCAGTCTTCAACTTACTTCACCTGTCAGAAACATTTGTCACAGTTGATTACTCCTCTTGTTTGCAACAATTTCTTCAGTTCCCTGGTGGATTTCACTTTTTTGGTTTCTACTGGCCAGTCTTTACCTTTGCTGGTTCCTGGTCCTCTTTAAAGCTAGAATGTCCTAGACCTCACTCCCGGGATCTTCAATTTTTTACATGTATTAATTCCCTTAATTATCTCAGTAAGTCTCATGGTTTCAAAATTACATCTATATATTTATTACTCCCAAATTTTATCTTCAGCTCAGATCTTTCCATTGATTTCTAAACTCTTACTTCTGACTGTTCCATTTTCCATTTGAATGTCTAATTGGCATGTTAAACTTGTCCAGAAATGAATTCCTGGTATTTTTCTCCACAATCTATTTTTCCTACAGTCTTCCTCATTTTGTAAGTAGGCTTCTATATTACTAATTGTTCAGGACAGTTGGAAATCATGTTCAATTCTTTTCTTTTAGTCACATTCCCCACTTAATCCAGTACAGATAATTTGGAATACACCCAAAAACATAAACCATTTCGCACTACCTCCACCGCTGCCTGTCTGGTCTGAGCTAAAATCATCTGTACCTTGGATTATCACAATAGCCTCCAAACTGACCCTTCTTTCTTCCATATTCCTCCTGCCTCCCCTCCGCCCAAAACTATTCTCAACACAGCAGCCAAATTGGCATGTTAAAATGTAAGTCAGACCATGCTACCCCCCTCAAAACCCTGCAAAGACATCCCAGGTTACTCAAAGTACAAAATGATAAACAATGAGAGAGAAAGAAAAGAACAAAGGATATACAGAAGAACCAGAAAAGCCTAATCGTTACTAACCATCCATCTTCTGCCTGTGCCCTGCCTTGCCTCTCTGATTTCATATATTGCTGTTCTGCCTTTTGCTCACTCTGTTCCAGCCCTCAACCTTTTCCATTGTAATTCTCTGTGCCTAGAACACATCTCCTCCACCTACAGATACACAAAAGGCTTCCTTCCTCTTTCCCTGCAAAGTTTGCCGTCTCATAGAGGCTTCCGCTAACTACTTTATGTAAAGTCACAACCCTCTACCGCTTTCTCCTCTCATTGCAATCCTCATTTCTCTTTCTTGTTTTACTTTTCTCCTTAGGACTTTTATCCATCTGACAGATCGCATATTACTTGTTTGTCTTCTACTCACTGTTTCTAGTACAGGGCACCATGTATGAGAACAGATAATTTTGCCTGTTTTGTTCTCTGTTAATATCCCAAGTGCTGAGAGCCATGCCATGATGTGTGTGTGTATTTATGTATTTATTATATATACATATATATCTCTGTGTATGTGTATGTATGTTTGTATATTGAATGAATTAATGAATGTTGATTGAATAAATGAATGAATAGAAAACTATTAATATTAGCCTCCTTCCCTTCCTTGGATCTCAAGAAATATTGCAATAGTGATTAACTAATAACTATTTGGAATTGCTATACAACCTGTTTTCTGTGTAAGTAAAGTATTTAATCTATATAATTTTTTTTTTTATTTAAGATGTCTGGGTAGCATCTCCTTATGGCCAACTTGTGGTACCAGTTACTATGACTAGGTAACAAATTACTCCAAAACTTAGAGCTGTAAAACAATCATTTATTACATCTACGGAAGCTATGGGTCAGGAATTCAGAGCAAGCACAGCACCGTTGGCTTTGTTGTACTCTGAAATGTCTGAAACCGCAAACGAAAGTGCTGTGAGCAAAAATCACTTGCAAGGTTGATGCTGGCTGTTGACAGGGAAACTCAGTTCCTCTATGTGTGGGTTTCTCCATGTGGTTTTTCCACATGGGCTGGTTTGAGCTTCCTCAAGCTCCATATCGTTGCTGGCTTCACCAGAGTAAGAATACCCAAATGAGCAAGCCTAGTAGAAGCTGTATCCTTTTTATAACCTAGCCTCAGAAGTCACAATATCACTTCCACTGACAATATTGCTTAGAGCAGTCACAAAGCCCCTGGCAAGTATAAGAGGAGAAAACAGAGACTCACCTCTTCACGGAATGAGTGTCAAAGTTACATTGTAAGAAGAGCAGGTGCAATGAGAAATGTTGCAGTCATTTAGGAAAATACAATCATTCACATTTTTTGGTTTCTATTGGCTAGTCTTTACCTTTGCTGGTTCCTGATCCTCTTTAAAGCTGGAATGTCTTAGGCCTCACTTCCTGTATCTTCAATTTTTTACATGTATTAATTCCCTTAATTATCTCAGTAAGTCTCATGGTTTAAAATTACATTTATATATTGATTACTCCAAAATTTTGTCTTCAGCTCAGTTCTTCACATGTGCCTGTGTAGAATTGTCAAGAATTTTCTTGTTTTCTATCTCTCCATTGATGAATCCAACTAGACATGCTTATTCTTTGTAATTCAAAATGAGAACCAATCACATTTGTATTGTTAGACCTGTTCTAACAACAACATATGCATGTGTGTGTGTGTGCATGTGTGCATGCATGTGTGCAGATGTGACATAAGAAATATACATCTTGTTTATGTGTCAGGTTCCTGAGATAGTGCTCCTAAGTCCTGTGGAATTTCCTGGGTGATAGAAGAGTATTTTGTTCTAATGAACCAACTCTTGTCAAATCCCTCAATAACTTCAGCATGGCCTAACCCTATATCAGTTGAACCCGTATTTGACCCATAACTGATCACAGTGGTTCAGATAATGAACCATTGACCGAAGCCTGCCATGTGATAGAGCCACCAGTAAATGGGTTGGATGGTCACTAGAAAGACTGAACCTCCGTTAGAGACTTGGAACTTTCAGCCCCATTCCCTGCAACCTCCAAGGAGGAAAGAGGGGCTGGCAATTGACTTAACAGTCAATCATGCCTACATGATGAAACTTCTATAAAAACTCCTAAACAATGGGGCTTGGAGAGCTTCTGGATTGATGAACACAAGGTACTGGGAGGTAGTGTGCCCAAAGAAGACATGGAAGCTTCACACATCTCCTGGCATGTTTTGCCCTATGGACCTCTTTTATTTGGTTACTCTTGAGTTGTATCCTTTACAATAAATCAGTAATAGTAAAGTGCCTTCCTAAGTTCTGTGAGCTATTCTAACAAATTGTTGAACCTGAGAATGGGATCATGGGAATCCCTGGTTTATAAGCAGCTGGTCAAAAGTACAGGAGACTGTGACTTGCCTTTGTCATCTGAAGTGGGAGTAGTCTTGTGGGACTGAGTCCTTAACCTGTGAAGTTTATGCTAGCTCTGGATAGTTAGTGTCAGAATTGAATTGAATTGCTGGACATCCAGTTAGTGTATGAAGAGTTGGAAGATTGCTGCTGTTGGAAAAAAAATGCAGAGTAAATTATATGTGTGTATATCTATAATCATAGAAAATCATGTTGGAAAGGCATTTTTGCATTCATTTTTCTGACATTCTGTTTCTGCAATATCCACAATACACATATACCACATCAAGTCCCACTCTTGTAGCTCTATTTTGGAAATCCCCAATTAGTATAAAGGTCTTTCTCAGAATGAATACATATTGACCAGAGATAGCACTTGCTCTTTAAGCAATTTTTTAAACAAGATAAGCATTTTCAGTTCTCTGATCTATGGGTTCCCTATGATAGTAACCCTTCTGCACTATCACCTGTGACCTTATATCAGCTGAAACCTTTTTGGCCCATAACTGATCACGACGGTTCAGACAATGAACCACTGACCAAAGTCTGCCGTGAAAAAGCCACCAGTAAATGGGTTGAATGAATATTATCAGATTTAATCCTTATAGCAACTTTTTAAGGTACATGTTACTACATACATTTCATAAATGAGAAAGAGGGCATATTTAAACTTGCTATGCTTTATTTAGTAAGTGGAAGCCAAATTAATGTCCAGAACCTTCTTAACTTTCTACTACAGTAAGATCCTTCTTTCTGGAGCTAATTCTACTCCTGTTTGCTTTCTCATAACTGAGGAGTCGCCATTCCTCATCTTTTGTGAGGCATCAGGAGTCTGCTTTTCCATTAAACCTGCATTATTTTCCTTACTTTGTCCAATGACACATAGGCACGGTTATTACAAAACTGTTGGGAAGCACATTAGAACAACCTTTTAGAACAGGCTGTTTTACAAAATACTAGGCTTGAAATTAGGTAATCATTTTGCAAAAGGGAAAATAAAGAAAGAAAAGAAAAAATTATCTAGTTAGAACAACAAAAAGAATGAATACCTAAAAACTGAAATTCTCAAAATTACACTCAGCCACCAAAGCAAGAGTCAAACGGAAGTCACAAACATTTAATTCATGCTCTGGGATGAGTATACAAACAGTTAGAGAGAAGAGTGAGAGACATTGTTTTCTCTCTATGATCTTAACACTTAATAATTCAGTAACATAAGTAAAAATGTAACTATAATGCAAGACAAGGTAAGAGAAATGCTGTAAGAAATGTATAAGTGAAGTGCTTCAGGGAGTTGAAAGGAAGGTCTGTGCCAGGGCAAATAACAGTGCAGAAACTAGAACTACAAAATAACACAGAAAGAATGTTTTTAACCAAAGAGTAGACATTTCTTCCTGGCTCGGGGGAATTGCTCATTGGTAGGGCAGCCTTCAAGAGTAGCATAACACTAAACAGAGGCAAGGCCAATATTAAGCAAATTTGATGGCTGAAACAGTTTTCTGCTCCTGGGCCTATAATTTAATGTCATTATTGGGCCTTTGAGGCTAATCCCACTAGAACAAGTCTAGGGGCTAACAGCAGAGGACAAGGAGAGTGGTGCTGAAGGAGCAGCAGCAACCTCTGCTAAACAAATTCTGAAACTTAGTATTTAGATAATCTCTTGGGAACCAAATTCCAACCATCAGAGGCATTTTATGACTGTAATATATTAAACTTATATGAGTAGCAGCACAGGTGTGACTTGAGCTATAAAAACTGAAAACAAACTCCTAATAGTCATAAGAAGGTGGAAGAATGTCATTTCTTTCTGTTGTATAATGGAAATACACCTAAGGCCTGGAGTGTTTTCTGTTGTATAATGGAAATACACCTAAAGCCCTTAGAGTGTTGAATAAGTAAAAACATCAACAAAATGGACTGTGTCATTTTAATTTACAAACAGAGCTTGTATTTTACACTTTATTTTTTATAAGCAGAGCTTAAATTTTGCAGATATATATTGCTTTCTTACACAACACATGCATTTAGTTTGAGCAACTAATCTGACTTTTTAAGAAATAATTCATTTTATAGATCTTTGTTATTTAACTGTTATTTTGAACAAAGAGACTGACAGCTAACAAATTTTTATGGGATATAGGATATTTTCATTACAAAGTTCGATATAGATAAACTCCATTTATTTTTCAAGTTAAAAAATAAAGCAGTCCCTTTAAACTGCTAATCATATTATGACTGATCTTTATTTTGTTTATCTAAGAAAAGATGAAAGCCTGGTCACTCCAGGCATGTGACATTGTCGACAGACTTTTCAGCACTCCATTAATTTATGGCTATTCGGTGGCAACTGAAAAATACTCAGGTGGCTGATGGTAGACATCCCAATGATTTACTTACAACATCTGCCATCCGATTACATAGGCTCCATTCAGCAGTCAGCTTCTTGTAAAATGGTGTTCCCAGTGAGTTCCTTCCCCTGTGCTAGTCAGTATTGAGTGACACTGAACTTCAGTTTGGTATTGAAAGAGTTTGTCTCCTAGGAGAATAAACTAACTTTTCCAAATCATATCATATTTAGCCAGAGAGTTAAAAGAAAAGAAGATGAAGAAAGAATGATAAAAGGAAAAATAACAAAAATAATTGCAGGAATCTTAGCCCCTAGAACCTGTCAAATCCTATAGTATACTTTTATTTTTTTAAGAGAGCAATTGTTCAGAATAAGTATCTGTGGGCATAGCCTCAACGTTCTGATATTTATTTGTGAAATAAATGATTGTAGGTAATTGACTATAATTTGTTTTTATTACCTCCAGGGAAAGCAAGAAATATAGGTAAGCACATGTTTGTGGACTAAACTTGGCTAATTATGGTTTAATATTTAATAAAAGAAAAAATAATCTCAGATTTCTATCATAAGGATCAAACTTAATAAAGCAATGGATTATAAATAAATATTGTAGCAATTAATTGATACTAAAACCAATTAGCTTCCAATATATTTATGACCCATTATAAGCTTATTTAATAATAAAAAGGAATACCACAGGAAGAATCAGATCTTAATTCTACATTGAAGTTGACTCTCTCTAAAAGTGGTGTCTGCTCAGATCTGTGCATGTTTAAGAGACACTATGAGTTTTTCAAGGCATAGCATAATAAAACCGAAAGCAAGTTTAGAGTTGATTTAGAAAAAACAATGCTTTTTTTTTAGGTTACAGCAAGCCATTTGGCATAGAATTAAACTTCTTAAATAAGTATAACACAAAGAGATCATCTATGAATCTTTCTTTTGTATTATTATGTACTTGACACCAAGATATGGTCGGGTTGAGAAAACAGCCTCTATTTCCATCATGTGCCAGCACTGTATCAGGACATCACAGTTTTCTTCTTTTCCCAAAAGCAAACCCAAAATAGCATCAAAGTCAGCCCTGCCAATTCTAGAACTCAAGTTGGACTCCTGCCTCTTCTGTTTATTTGCTGAGTGACCTTGGCCTCATCCTCCTCAGTTTTCTCATCCATAAAACGGAAATAATTTACCTATCTCATAGGTATATTGTGACTGATAACTACTGACTAAAATGACTAAATATATGTGAAATCTTTGGATAGGGCCTGGCATACAATAAGTGCTATATAAGCATTAATTATAAAATGGGTATTTAACACAACACATGGACATCATTTTACCTCCCCCAAACGTCTCCTTTTACCTCTCTTTCTGGGATCCTCTGCTGCAGGCTTTGTCTGAGCACCCCGCCATCCTTTTCTCCTCTGTCCCCACCAGAGTCACTGACTCTAGTCTTCTCTGTCCAGTAACCATCTCACACCAATCATCTCTATACATTGCTCCATTTCCTACACACGACAACTCAGCTTTGTCTCAGCTTCTCCAAACTTGGATCCTCTCACCTTCACTTAGTGTTGTCTTCACATACATGAGTGTATACTATCGTAAATACTGCATTTATTTCCTTTCAGTAGACAAAAGATCTTCTATAACCAGTATTCAGTATTCTAAGAAAGTAAGTAGGTAATTATAAACAAATTTTTGTAAGAAATTATAAATTACATTTTTAGTAACATAAACAATATTTAATACCATTAATGTGATAAATTATTTGTAATCATAAATATCCATCACCCCCAGTAACTTGACAACATTGAAAAAAATATTGAACATATGAATTCATTAACAAGTGTTAGTTTACTGTAGCAATTTAGCATGGGGCACTAGAAATAAACTTCTTAACTTGTTTAGGCTATTTAGTGCATAAAAGTGTATGATTATAATTTTTAGTTAAGTTCTATGTCCAGGTACCTACAGGTAAGAAAAGGTATTCCTTAATCAGGACTTTATAAACACTAAAAGAAGACTGTATATACATCTATTTGTATAAATCATTTTAGACAATAGTGTTTGGTAGTTTTTTCAGGCAGATAGATAATATGAACTAGAAAAAATACAGTCTGTTTCACATACATTTTCAATGCTTCCCAATTCAGAAAATAGTGTCAACTTGAAATAATTAAATGACTGTAAAAAAATTTATCTTCATGAAAGACAGTATAGATGATCTTTTCTCATTGTTCCCTGTACGCTACACACTATGAATATTTTTGTATTAATCTTCATTAGAACATTGACTGTAGAAAATGGTCACTCCTCATCCCACTTCCATCTTAACCCATGGTTTTTCTCATTTCAGATGTTAAAGTTGTGAGTTTCCATCACTTAGATTTCTACTGGTCCAGTAATGTTTGCATATTCTTGCACAGATCTGAGGTTTTCTGCTTCTAAAACAATAAGAATGCCTGTGCTAGTTACCACTTTCTAGGATTAGTAGATCTCTGCGTGGAGCTGTATGGCACTGTCTTGTACTCCTTGTGTATTTGCTGAAGTGTTATGAGCAAGAGAAAGGAAAAGAATATCTTGATTTGAGAGAGCAGTAGGCAAATTGAGTCAAAATCAAGAAAGACTCTCATTAAATTTATGATAATTTACATCATTTTCATATACTCCATTCTACTAGCTGCAGAAGTTAAACAATTTTACTTATAGCAGCTGTACCAACTTGGCAGACAAAATTGACCATCACAGGAGTCAGACACCGCAGCACCTGCAAAAGGATGATCATGGAGTCCACCAGGATTCAGTTTGCAAGAAGAAATGTTGGACTTCCTATGAACGTCTACTTATCCTACAGGAAGGAAGACTACCCCCAACAAAAAGCAATGGACATGGGCTAGTGTGAGTGGAAGAATTTTATCTGCTGCTCAGAATTTCCTCTTGTCCAGTCTTCATGGCATGTTCTTGATTGGTGGCTAAGCATAGATGAGGTCAAAGAAAAAATAAAAACATCTCAAAAAGTTCCTTTCACTTAACTTGCTGGGTGAAACTCATGGCACAAGGTGGTAGTATAACTCTCTGGTATTTTCAGGAGTCATGGAATATGGCATCAGCACTTCTGAGACGATGTCTCTACAGTCTAAGCACAGTTCATGGGAGCAACTATAGCCTTGGAGGCTGATATCACCACAGGTAAGAAGGCAGGTGGAGTGGAAATTGGCATATGCTACACTGCTTTTGAGCATGAAAGAAAAAGGAGGGGAAGAAGAAAAAAAATACAAAACACTCCTCACAGAACCAACAGAAAAGCTATGAGAAAAATCAAACAATACTGTAAGTTTTAAAAAATAGTGAGAGAGGTTCTATTACCTTTTAAAGGATTTTAGTAGTAATTTCCTATTGCAACTTTCCCATTTTTGTAGGATTTTACTATAATAGTTAAATCTGAAGGTCACCAAATAAGGAAAAAGAATGTAAATACTAAAATTTTTGATGGGGATTCAAGGTATTTCAATCCAAGTGCCTTTTTTTTCCTTCTTAAATTAGCTTGTTCTCTTAAACCCACTCACTATTTTACAGCTACTTCTTAAAAAGGGAAAAAAAAGCAATTAAATAGACAAGAATATACAGTTTTTGTTTTTCTTTACTTTTGCTCCTTACAGAAGTGAATTACTATTTTCAGAAACATTTTCTTATGGGAGTCATTAGCCATTCTGGCCTGCACTGCGGGGAGGACCTAGTGACATTCTTTATGCCTACCAATGATATTATAAACAGTTGTTGTCACAAATAAATGTGCAATTAATTTAGTATTCTAAAGGTTTTCAGTTTCTTCCATCCATACTTTGAGGCACCTCTTTACCTGATTTGTATATAATTTAAATATATTGTATTTAGTAAAATCAGAATTTAAAAAAGGAGTAGCAAGAATAATTATATTTTTAAAATATGCACTAGATATAAAAAACAAAAATATTGATCTAATCTAAATGATAACCATGTGAGCATCAAGATTTAAAAAATCAATTTTTTATGGCACATATTAGAAAATTTATAAAATGGTTAAAATATTCATAAAATTCATAAGTAAAGCACTTAGCAATTAATTAAAACTTGAAATATGAAAATGTATTCTTTACTAGACTCCATTTTTTCTACAAATATCAAAATAAACTAATCTTTAAAAGTCTGATGAGTCTGTCAATATAATGTACAAAATGACAGTTTATATTTTAATATTAGTCACATAAAAACGACAGTGATGTGAATTAAGATATATTATCTAAAAGCGAGTAGCCTTCTCTATATGTATCCTCCTATTAAACACAAGATAAAATACCCCCAAAAATATTTGGTTCCATTTTTAAGCTAACCAGTCTGTCCAGCAAGTGTTATCCCTTAGCAACAAGAGCTGATTAGTCCCTTGATTATTGTGATAAATGTGAGTCTCATTCTATTTCTCCTACAATATGAGAAACAGACAACTGGAAATACCATAACTTCAAACTTGCAATGTCGATAAACCAAATTCAATACAAACAAATATATATTGAGAAGCTACTGTGTGTCAAGAAGAGTATTACACAGCACAGGAAAGTAAATATGAATACAAACCCATGCTTGCAAATAAAAAATTCCCTGCTTGCAAAGAATTAGACAGGTACTAAAATAACTATTATAAGCCAGGCATGGTGGCTCACACCTGTAATCCAACAGTTTGGAAAGCCAAGGTGGGAGGATCACTTAAGCCCAGGACCCTGAGACCAGCCTGGGCAACATGGTGAAACCCCATCTCTACTAAAAAATACAAAAATTAGCCAGATGTTGTGGCATACACCTGTAGTCCCAGCTACTCAGGAATCTGAGGTGGGAGGATCGATTGTGTGGGAGATCACAGCTGCAGTGAGCTATGATTGTGTCACTGCACTCCAGCCTGGGTGATAGAGTGAGACCCTGTCTCAAAAATTTATAAAAAGAAAGAAAGAAAGAAAGAAAATAACTATTATATTTTTAAAAAATCAGACAAGGGCAGGGCCATATGAGAATTGCCAAGGTCAGCTTCTACTTGAAAATGGCTCCACATATAATAATTTCAAAAGTTGACATTTTTAAGAAAAGTACTCAACTGTTTTAAAAATTACATACTGTACTAACAGTGATTGTTTAACAAGAAGTGTACTTAGATACTCCATGGATTTTTTTTTTTAATTTCGTTTCCTTTCAGAACACACTGAGGTACATATGACGTGGTTTGTAGAAACTTAGGGATCTCAAAGGATAACACTATATGTACAAAAGCAGTCTCGTGTGGTAATGGTAGGATCTGTAACCATTTGTTTTCAGTTTATTCAAAGAAAAAAGCTAATTTTGATAGTTTTTGATGCGAAAACAAATGATATTCACTGAATTTATTTCATAATATATGTAGAAATATAATTATTGCCCCAAATTTCCATCAAACACTAAATTCTTTAATAAGATGTGGAAAAATAATGCTGACTTTGATTTAAAAATTTGGTAAATGATAGAGAATAAAATATCTACTTTGTAAGCAGGAGTGTGTGCATTTGTGTATGTGTGAGTTTGTGTCATGCTTGAAGGATTTTTTTTCTCTATACCTAAGTTAAGAAATGTAGGGGCCGGGCACAGTGGTTCATGCCCGTAATCCCAGCACTTTGCGGGGCCGAGGCGGGCGGATCGCTTGAGGTCAGAAGTTTGAGACCAGCCTGGCCAAAATGGTGAATCCCGGTCTCTACCAAAAATACAAAAAAAAAAAAAAAAATTACCTGGGTGTGGTGGCAGGTGCCTATAATCCCAGCTACTTGGGAGGCTGAGGCAGGAGAATCGTTTCAACCCTGGCTGCGGAGGTTGCAGTGAGCCGAGATCATGCCACTGCATGATCGCTTCAGCCTGGGCAACAATAGCAAAACACTGTCTCAAAAAAAAAAAAAAATGTAGGCATTCCTTTTACTTTCGTGGATAATCTAGGAAATTATATAGCCTAGATTATAAAAATATTAAAATAGTTATGAAGTTCTTGTCAATTTGACCCCACCCAATTTTTATAAAGATTTAACTTTTTTCACTTTTATTTTAAGTTCAGGGGTACATGTACAGGTTTGTTACATAAGTAAACTCAGGTCACGAGGGTTTGTTGCACAGATTGTTTTGCCACCCAGGTATTAATCCTTGTACCCATTAGTTATTTCTCCTGATCTTATCCTTCCTCCAACATCTAATATTTAAATTCATATGAAAATAACTATACACTTACCATGCTCAAAATTCTGATGAATAAAATTTAAAGCTATATTTATTATTAAATTTTGTTATATAGTAATACTTCTCTAGAATTGATAGTACATTAAAAAGTTGGCAAAGCCAGCCAGGCCTGGTGGCACAAACCTGCAGGCCCAGTTACTCAGGAGGCTGAGTCGAGGAGATTCTTTGAGCTCAGCAGTTCAAGGCCAGCCAGGACAACATAGTGAGACCCTGTCTCAAAAAAAAAAAAAAAAAAAAAAAAGAATTAGCAAAGCTGGAACTGGCTTTTAAAAAAGTGTTATCTAATTATATTTAAAGTGGATAGTGAAAAATAACTTACACATAATAATATAAAATTAACACTCCCCACCCCCACCAAAAAAGTTTCCAACAAACGCCATCAGGTAAAATGAGGATAAAGACCAATCCAGCTAAATGGCTTTCCATTGGCTGTTGGTAAAGAGACGAGGAGAGGGGAAAGGAAAGACCTTAAAGGTAAAGAAAATCAGAGAGACAATTTCAAGGAAGTATTTTGCCTCCATTCCTCTCACAAAGTTTTTTATGTTCCCATTGATAATATCAGAAAGAGAAAAGAATTTTAGATTGAAGAAAAAGAAGGAAGTAACCATATTGTGATTTACTGAAAAGGGTAGAGAAGTGCATTCCAATGTGGTTTTGCCTGTGAATCCCGCAACACCAACCTCCATGTGATTCTTTGATTTTGTCGTTAGCTGTTCCATTATGGTCTTTTCTCCTAATTCAACTCCTAAATCTGCAACATTGGTCATTTCCTTTCCTTTCTATTTACAGCATGTCATACAGTATTTCAATTATTAAATCAATAAGTACTAAATACTAAAACTGTACTATGGGCAAGGCATTGGGTAGCAGAGGAACTTTCATTTCCTTGCATGTCACCTAGGGATTCTGTGTTTCACCACGCTTTACCACCAACTTCACTCTAATATGCTTTGTTTCTCCTTGGTGCAGGGATGTCTTTCCAAAGCCCTAAATAAAAACAGGCAGGACTCTGTATTCTTGTGGAATTCCCAGACATATATACCACTGTATCTTTTTTTTTTTTTTTTTTTTTTTGAGGTGGAGTCTTGCTCCGTCACCCAGGCTGGAGTGCAGTGGTCCAATCTTGGCACACTGCAACCTCTGCCTCCCGAGTTCAAGCAATTCTCCTGCCTCAGCCTCCCGAGCAGCTGGGACTACAGGTGCGCACCACCATGCCCAGCTAATTTTTGTATTTTTAGAAGAAACAGGGTTTCACCGTATTGGCCAGGCTGGTCTCGAATTCCTGGCCTGGTGATCCACCAGGCGTGAGCCACCATGCCCAGCCACCACCATCCTCTTCATCTTTTTGGTACAGGAGAGATCCTCCTAAGATTATGGGAATGGCTGAATACATAATATCCAAAACTGACTAGGTGAGATTGACAGCAGGTTATTAGTTCCATAGATTCATAGCCTGGTGGAAAAGGATCCTACACACCACACAGGGCCACTGGGGGTGTTGCGAGAGGTCATGGGAGGCAGGTTTTATAATGTCAAGAGGGTGAGGTGCCACCAGACTCCAGTGGGAGAGCATGATTGCTTTATTTGAATAATTTGGTGATCTAGCAGGAAGACTGAAGCCAGATACTCAGAAATAAGCAGGAACTATGCCTGGTCCTTGTGATAAGGAGGGTTGTTTGGCTACAGGACCTTATCCACAGGAGCAGAGTGGGAAGGGCAACTTGACGTTAGGTCATTCAAGTCCCTCTCAGTTTTCCCCAAATGTTAAGCACACATAATACTGGCTCTTAATCTTAGACCTTATGCTATACTCCCATAAACACCCAGAGAACAAACTTTGGCTGCATGCATGTGAATACTAAATATTCCTCTTCATCTCTGTCTCACTCCTATTTTCTGCACCAATCTCTGTGATCAGAATGGGCTTCTTCAAGCACTTTATAACCACCTGCCAATAAAAAACAGAAAGCCTTAAACTCAATTGTATATTTTCCATACTAAGGGAGAAAGTTTTGAGTTGAACCCTCCAGGCTTGATTCTTCACATGCTAAAAGAAAAGAGAAAGGCTTTAGAAAATCCTATCTGAAGATAGAAGTCTGGCTTAAAGTCTTGTCTCACCAAGGAGGTCAACTGCCCGTCAGCCCTTGCTTTGGAGAGGCAAACATTGGAATTTATATTAGGGTGAGAACTTTCAAGAACAGGTTTTGGCAGGGATTAAAGTGCATTAGTTTAATATTTGTCAACAGATTGTCTCATATATCTTAGAATCTCTGCACTGTCCATAAATTTTGAACATCTTTTATATAAATACAATATATCTTTATCACACACCAAAACAATCACTTTTTAAAAATTCTACAGTCTTGAACTTTTTTCTTCATTAATTTATTTTTTGTACTTAAGTGACTGTATACATGGCTCTGCTACCCTCAGAGTTAAGTAGTATAAAAGACGCCGAAAGCTGAATGCTGAACAAGTGGCGGGGTGTTTAATGAGATGAAGACATGAAGACAAGGAATTCAGTTTTAGGCATATTCATTTTGAAGTACTGTGAGACACCAATAAAAAGGCATAGTCTGGAGTTCAGAGACAGGGAAAGGTTGCAACCCATGAGTTTATATGTAGTAATAAGAATCACATGAGTAAATGAGATTTCTTATGAAAACACATATGAGAAGAGAGCCCAAAGCCCTGGAAACATGACAGTTAGGTTCCCTGAGCCAGTAGTACTGAGAGAGAATACACTGATAGTAACTTTCCAGATTTTCCAGAGTAATCCTGAGCGAAAGCCCCCGTCTCGGGAGTCAAATTATAGATATTTACCTGTGCTTGCTATTAGGTTGGTTGCAAAAGTAAATGTGGTTTTTGCCATTACTTTTCATTACTTTTTAATGAAAAGTAATGTCAAAAAAAGTAATTAATTTTGCACCAAGCTAATATTATGTTTTATCTCTGTCACCATATGTCTGGAGTTTACCAAAGCAAACTTTTTATTTTATTTTTTGTACTTCTGAACAAGTGTCAGAATACATTCACAGCCTCCCTATGGGGTTCTTCCACTCTAGCTATGTGAGCCAAAACTCTTCAGCTTCACCCAACTTGTACCTTTACTTTGATATTGGATCTTCAGTGACAGGGAGGATATATTTCCAGAATATTCATTAAAAGAAATATGCACTCTGTACTGATACCTGAAGTCTCCAGAATGTGTCTCTCTGTCAGATAGGAAAGAAGAGTATCTGTGATGGTTTTGTTTCCAAACGGAGTATTTTATGCTTTCTTGGCCTAATGGGGAAGCACAGCTTTCCACTACACATTTAAAATCATGGAGGAAACATGCTCTTTCTCAGAGTATTTAAAAATTGCTCCGCCTATTGAAATATTAGAATAATATTTTAAAATGTTTTCTCTGCTTCACATTTGTGATATTTGCACAGAACTTCAAACATAATGCATTTATAAGATCCAGTTTATAATAGCTCTGTTGGAATTCATTAATAGTCCCATGAGTCTCATAAGAAAAAGGAAACAAGAAATAGTGCCACTATGTGCTTTGTTTTGAACATATTAACTAAACATTACAAGAGCAGATTAGAAAAGCAATCACTTTATTTAGTTGAGTAATTACCAACTTGAATCCCTAAAGATCAGTTATTGTAACATGTTCTATAAGATTTCCATTAGGAGTCTTCAATGAGTCAATAAAAGGTCATGTTTATATACATTGAAAACACTTGAAAGAATAATATTAACATAGACTCTTATGCCATGCCCATACTTTCCCAGTGAAAGGTATTTCTCTAGGAAATATGTTGCTTTTGACATCAGTATTCTTAAAAATGTGCAACAGATATAAACGTCGAAAATCGCTTTCATTTTGTTTTGATTTACTAGCATTAAAGAGAAGCCAATGTTAAGTTCATTGGTGTGGAAGGAGGTCTTATTTAATGGCATACTATTGATATTGACTATTCCATTCATAGATGCAGAAAGCCATCACAGTCCATAAGTATGGTGATACTCCAGCACAATTTTTTTTTAAATCTGGCAAGGTAGACAGATACAGTTTACCCTCCATATCTGTGGGTTTCATGTTCATGCGTTCAACCCAACTGCAGATAGAAAATATTAAAAAAAAAATTATACTAAGTTCCAGAAAACAATACTTTAATTTGCTGTCACCGAGTACTTCACTGAATCCATTTGAATGATGTGATGTGTTGGCATTTTATTAGGTATTATTATTATTAATTATTATTATTATTTGAAACAGAGTCTCACTCTGTCACCCAGGCTGGAGTGCAGTGGTGCGATTTCAGCTCACTGCAAACTCTGCCTCCCGGGTTCAACCGATTCTCCTGCCTCAGCCTCCTGAGTAGCTGGGATTACAGGCGCACGCCACCAGGCCTGGCTGATTTTTGTATTTTTAGTAGAGATGGGGCTTCACCATGTTGATCAGGCTAGTCTCGAACTCCTGACCTCATGATCTGCCCACCTCTGCCTCCCAAAGTGCTGGGATTACAGGTGTGAGCCACCGCACCCGGCCTGTATTAGATATTATAAGTAATCTAGAGATGACTAAAAGTACACAGAAGAAGTGCATAGGTTATATGCAAATACTAAGCCTTTTTCCATAACGGACTTGAGTATCTGCAAATTTGGTATCCACAAGGGTACTGGACTCAATCCCCCACAGAGGCTAAGGGACTGCTATATTAACAAGATAGGGAATTCTTAGAAGATAAATTGATGCATATAATTGAATTTGCAAAAATTCTATGCATTTTGCAAACATAAAAGTATATGGAGTTTTATTTTTATGAAACATTCCAGATCACTAAGTATATTATGATCTCTAGTAAAGCTAGGTTTAAAAGCTTTCATAGTCTCAGAATACAAGTCTCATATACCTGCACTGTAAAATGATGTATTAAAGTATGTAACATGAGTTAAAAGTTAAAAAGCCAGAAGTGAAAATAGTAAAAATGATAATAATAAAACCTTCCACTTAAAAATAAAAACAATTAAAACCCTATCATTTCTCATTTTTGATAAGCATCTAATCATGCATCGAAAAACTTAACATATCTGCAATTGTTCTCTTAGGCCCAGCCCAGATTGGCATGGCCGTTCCCTTTATTATTTTTTAAAAGAAATATCAGTAAAATTTATACTTTTTGGTAATTATTTATTTTTTGGAGTTTTTTAAATCATATTGAGAAAAACACAGAGCTCTTTGGTTTACAATTATTACAGTTCAGGAGTAATCTTCTGGAATTTAGGGCCTAAGATTAAGTAATCATTTGAGATCAAACCCAAGTGTACCCTTTTACTATGATTTTCAATCTGTTGAAAAAATGGTGTACACACACACATGCACATACATACACACATACATATATATACACACCAACACATTTATGTATTTACACCAGTCTCAGGAGTAAGCAATGAAATAAGAGTCCTTTGGAAAGAGAAGAGTTCAGTGCAACCAAGATTAGGGTATACCTGTCCTGTGCCACCAAGAGAGTCCTGATTCCCTAGGTGTCTACCTGGGATCTTGCAAGTAAGCAGACTTACTTACTTTGGGATTGCTGGTATTCAGTAATTGCTACCAGAAAACTGAGAAATTCTTGGGAATTCCATTCCACAAGCCAAAATACAGAAGTTTGAATCATAATTAGAATATGCAACAGAAACCAGAAAGTTTGAACAGATTTAGAACCAGACTGATGCTCCCATTTCCGTCAATATCTCTAAGGCCCTACACTAAAGGTAATTTACAGACTTGCAGTTATGAGGATTCACACTCTGCGGGTGACCTTTACTGTCTTATGGGAGTAACAAAGATTCAGATCTCAAAATTATAATGATGACTGATTGGTGACTCAATCCCTGGCATTTCCCAGACCTCAGACTCTAGTGGGAGTAAGATAAACTAAATCTAGCAATCATTTCCAAAGGATACTCCCATATTACTCAAAACCTTGGGGACTGAATGCTGTCCAGCACTTGCTTTGGTCATGGCAAATCAAAACAGTTGATGATTACTGTTACTATAAAATTATTTATTCCCTGTAATGAAGAAAAAGGAGCAAGGGGTTAAGGAATCTATCCTTAAACAGGCATACATTTTTCCTAGGAATTACCCACTTGCAAACTCTGAAGTTTTACAGAAGAAAGTAAGGTGAAATCTTCTTTCCCCAAATGCAAGAGAATTTGTTAAGCAATAAGGCCAAGTAAGTGTTCACAATGATATGCTGAAAGAGAGCAGTACACAAAATGAAAATTGATGTCACTAGGAATAATGGAAAAGTTGTTTTATTTTTAGGAAATTGGAAGAGTGATATTATTTCAAAGACGGTTGGTGAGAGGTGAAGATGGATGGTCTCTTTAATTAATTAGATAATCTTTAATAAGCATTTGTCACACTATATATTGAGATCCTTTTCATATATTTGAAAAAAAAAATAACAGCAGGAGATAATATTCCACATAATGCCTAGATGTTCATCAAATTCTCCTTTTGGGAAACACAGAATGACTCCAAATTCTTACAGCTGGATTGAGTACATTTCTTGCTTCTGATCAATGGAAGTGGATGACAATAATATATATACTTTCTGGTCTGTCTCCAGGGTCCCTTTTTGATCCTTTTTAGGAGCCATGAGTTTAAATTACCAGGATTGTAACCTGAAAAGAGACTGAATTTCTGAGTACTTGCTTGAAGGTAAACTGCTGTCAGTTTAGGCTACTCTAACAAAATATCACAGACTGAGTTACTTACAATCAACAAAAATTAATTTTTCGTAGTTCTGGATGCTGGAAATCGGAGATCATGGTGCCAACATCATTGGATTATAAAAAGGACCTGCCTCCAGGTTGTAAACTACCAACATCTCATTGTATCCTCACATGGTAGAAAAGGAATGAGCTAGCTTTCTGGCCTCTTCTTATAAAGACACGAATCCCATTCATGAGGGCTCCTTTCTCATGACCCAATCACTTCCCAAAGGCCTTGCCATCACATTGGAGGTTAGGATTTCAACGTTTGGGTTTGGCAAGGAGGCACAAACATGCAGTCCATGACAATTGCCAAAGACTGTCAATTCCAATACACACTAGACCAATACAATCTTGACAAGAGCAAGAAATAAACATTGTTGTTACTAAGCCACTAGGATTTCATGCTTTATTTTTAACCATCGCATAACTTATCCTAATTCATAAATCAATATTATATGAGAGCTATAGCTGTAACAAAGACCTAAAACATATATTATATGTTTAGTGAACAGGAAAAGGACAGTTTGAAACCTTACATTGAAATTTAGAAAGATAATGAACCGTATTTTGCAAAAGCAAACACTTGATAAAACTTTTGCATATAGTAACTTGAAAGCAGACAATTCTTATTCCTATTTCCTATTCATCTGGAAACTTTAGGGGATATAGTTGGAAAAATATAGTAGTATAATTAGTATATTAGTATATTTATACTGAATTAATATAGTTTGAACATTATGGACTACTTTAACAAAATATTACCATCAAAAGGAGGAGGTCAATTTAAGAACAAATTGGCCATTTTGCAAGCTGAAATAAAAGGGAAGAGAGTTCTGAAATTCTGTGCCTTCCAGAGTTAGGACAGCTAGATGCTTATAGACTCCTAGCAGTTGGCGATAGAATTTTAAAAGGATTGAACAAGATCCAGTGAAATGTCTCAAATAAATGTAATAAATCAAATCTGAAACTAATAAGCTTAGGCATGGTTTCCCATTCATTTTCCTAAATAGGTGTTTACCATTAAAGTAACAGGTAAGCAAGTTGGTGAAAAGCAATGAAATAGAGAAATTTGAGAACGACATCTGGAAAAGAACTTTGAGTATGTGATTACTGGTACATGTAAAATTAGAATAAAACAAATCAGCAGCTCTTCTGATTTGAGAAAATTTTATTGTCAAAAAGTCAGAAATTTGACTGCTTCAGAATTAAAACAAGTAAGTAAATAGTAACAACCTTGAGAATCCAATTTTCCACCAGCATGAAGCACAGCCTGAATATTCCACAGCTCAGAGGAAGGTATTCTGTCTAACACTTATTTAAGATGTGGCCAAAGAGAAAAAAGGACTAGAATGAGTTTACAAATGGGTGGTGGATCGAGGAGCCATGAAGAAAAATGGATGAAATAATTCCTTCTAGGGAAATGAATTAGAGCTTAATACAGGAAAATGAATTAGGGCTTAATACAGGAAATGAAATAGAGCTTAAGACAGTTTAATACACATCCATCCCATGCTCAAGGTTGGAGACCTTGACAATGTCTTGCCAGTCAGATTTCAGAATTGCAATGAGCAGAGATCTACTGTGTGTCTTCCATTCTCCCCCTTTATGAATAGGAATTTTTAGGCATTGTGTGTGTGTGTGTGTGTACACGTGTGTGTACGTGAAAAAGAAAAAAAGCAGTTATGTCCTGTTTCTCTCCCAGGCACAATTAGAATATTTTAAATGAAGACTAATGATTAGTAGAGAATTAAATTTGTAGTCTAAATTGCATTCAAAGTCAAATCACATCATTAGTTATATAAAAGACATTGGGCTTGGAATTTTGAATCCATGTCTCTTTCTGTCTTATTCTTCATAAAAATTGAAAATTGACTTCTGATGAACTTTTTAAATGTTTTGAAGTAAACTGTAAAAATTATCTTCTACCTCCTTCTAATTAATGTAATGAGATGAGATCAAACCATTTATGAACTCTTGCTTTACCAGTAAGTGGTGTCTCTTAGACTAAATCAAGAAAGAAATTTAAAACAAGTTAACTTTTAACTTAGAACTTGATTTTAAAATTAGGTGTCATTCTTCAGAAACCAGAAATTATTTTATGCTAACACTGTATTTATTTCCTTGGCAATGTCAAAGAGACTTTCTTTGAACATTTTATAATATGACTCAGTATTTATAGTAGTGACAGATAAAGTCAAAGTTTTCCTTCACATTTTCCTTAATATTAAGTTCCAAGATATTTTGCCACCAAACACATTTAAAGGTTTCCTATGACGAGTCAACAAATACAAACTGAGAACCCCACAATATAAGGCAGTATGAAAAAGGCTCATAGGAAACAAAGAGGTATAATTCAGCGTAATTCACAAATTAACTATCATTCTGAAATCTTTTCAGTTTAATTGGAGATAATGTAGCAAAAGAAATACATGGATTATAATTGTCAATTAAGTGATAATAAAAATCTATGTGTAATTCTTCAAAGTATCTTTGCTTTCATATATATTGTATCAATGGTTCTTCATTAAAAGTATACAGAGTTATTATCCTCTCCTTTTTTTAAAAAAATAGATACATTCCTATTTGAATTCAATAGAGGAGTGCTTCTCCACTGTCTTGGCTCAGGGACAAATACTCAAACTGATTATTATTATTTAATAATACTTGGGTGGGATGTTGAAGACAGGCTTTCCTTTTCATACATTTGGGGGGTCCAGGATTCATCTTCTGATTTTTTTGGGGATTGTGACTGTCTTGAAACAATATAAGGATTGGCTACATGAGGGTAACTCTAGTGAGGATGAAGCAAAGTCTTGGAAAATGTACTTCCGCTCAAGAGGGTTCACTTATGCTGAAGAGTCAGCAAGCAATGTGCTAACTGCAGGTGATGGGAGGTGCGCTCTCAACACCAGTGGGAAGAGCAATAGTATGAGCCTCAGCACAACGGAGGCACAGTGCTCACTAGTTGGCTACCACACTCCCACAAGATTCCCTGGAGCTGTCCATGGGTATATCCCTTTAAGAGGACCCTGGATTCTTACCCTGTTCCTATACATCTCATCCTTTATGTCGTTCAATAACCTACTAACCTCTCTTCCTATGACCCATCATATGTCCATGTACCTCTTACTCACTTTTGCATCACATATTTCCAATCCCATTCCTAATGGTAGATTCACTATCTGAAGTCTGTGCTACTGTATTAATCTTCCACTAATTGGTTTCTCTGCCCTACATCTCTCTCATTTCACAAACTCCACACTGCCACACTTCCTAAAACAAATCTGATGCTATTTCCTCAAATACCAGGTTTCTCAGAACTCTACCTATCTGACAGTCCTCATCTCTCACCATGCCATAATCCCACACATGGTCTGAACATATAAGATAATTTCAGGCATTCTCTCAATCCAAAATCCTACTTCAAACTATTATGTCTTTGTTCATGTTACCACTGTTTGGAAAGACCTCTTGTGTTCTACATAAAAATATTCAAATATCCTCACATTAAAAAAAAAACAAAACCCAATACATTGCTCTATCAAGAAAAGTGAATGCCTCTTACCTTGGTAATTATGTTTGTATTTTAGGCACACTTATTCTAGACTTATTAAACTGCATTGTAATTTTTATTTGTGAATATGTCATCCTCCCACACCCTATGTGAAGTGCTAAAGTTCATAAAGACAGAGCAAGCAAAAATCAATAACCATGACGACCCACTACAAACAAAATTTATTTTTCTACCTTCAGTGGCTATTATGCTTCATCAATCATGCCTGCATCTTTCCTCATGGCATAACTTTATCTTGAAATACCATGGCTTTTTTTTCCATATGTTAAATTTCTAAGTATCCTAAGATTCTGTTCAAATCCCATTGCTATTAGGAAACAATTGATGCATGGTGAATGACACAATAAGATTATTTTCCTTTTTAAACATATAATTTATTCTGCACTGTTTTAGAAAAAAAATGGTTCCCTGTTCTATTCTTCCATAGAACTGTATGCATCAACAAGAACACAGAATATTGTTAGTGTCAAAGAGAAGAAATATAGTGGATAAGAGGAGTGGCTCTGGAGACAGACAGTTGTGAGCATGAATTATGATCCAACCAGGCACTAATTTTCAACATGGGTGAATTAATTTTGCTAAGACTGAGTTTCCTAGAAAAATTGATTTCATATTAGTGCTCACATTAAGAGATTGTTTTGTGCATTGTATTTATTAAAAGACACAATGTTTATGTAAAGTGCTTAACAAAGTGCCAGGGAATAAGGAGTATTTCATAAATATCACCATTATTAGATGACCGGATACGCCCTACTCCAGTTTCCTAGTAATCCTGGGATTTCCAAGATGCCCTTCCCTAGAGGACATGGAAACATCAAGAAGGAGGAGTATCTGTTATACTTAGAGCATAGAAGCAATAATAGTGGTTAAAAATCACTGTTCTACGTGGGAGGCTTCTCGGTCAAGGACTTCACTGTAACTACTTTGTATAATACCTTTAAAAATGAGGATAATTTTTTAAGTAGGCATCTCACGTGGACCTGAATTAGAAACTGGAACTTAGACGTTATTTCAGTTTTTCATTCAAAACTGGATTACATGCTAATTCCAATGGCTTCCAAAAAATTTTTTAAAGAAACAATTTGGCCCATAATGAAAGGACTTCAACTGACCCTCTGAAATAAGACATAACTATGTGAGAGAATAATGAACAATGAATGAAATATAGGCTTTTGATCCAAGAGAGCAATAGGTGGGGAAGCATGTTTGCTCAGCATGGGCAGTGGTATTGGGAAACACTTTATGTTAATGCCGGGGTCATTAACCAGGTGAAGCAGACTAACGCTTAGAAGCAGCATCTAGAAAAATAACCCAGCCCAACAATTTCCACCTGACTGTTCAGGGAATAACAGCATATCCTACAATCATAACTAAATCTGAAGATCAAAATTTCAGTAATTGTGCAGTGAGGAAAATTCCCAAAACTTCATTTATCCCAGGTTAATGATAATCTGGTCTCCAAAACCTGGACTGGAAAAAAAATGATTATTTCTTAAGTAATTTAGACTAAAATTGATATGAAGATGCCCCAGCCTTCTAGAAACAAAAGGCATTTTTTTTTCTTTTTAGGTTTCAGGAAAATAAAAAAAAAAATGTAATGTAGATTCATAAGATTCTAAGCCTCACTCCGTTTTGGAAAAAATAATGGGAAAACTTCACTTGATAGAAACCAATATAGAGTTTACTTTAATTTTAAAGAAAATGTTCATCTCAAATTTACAACTTTTTAGTTTTAAATATCTGCTAAAAGAATATTTTTTGTGCATCTGTTAATTTTTTGGTTTCTGATTTGTCTCAGTTCATTGATTATCCTGAAGTTAAGCTGTCATCTGCATTTAGTTGTCAAAATTTTTATGCAAAATAAACTGTTAGCATAGTGTTTATGTAATGCTTTGGGTTTGTTAGTATTTCCATAATAGCTATTAATGTAATTTACATTTCCCTATTTCAATATGGGGGAAAAAAGCAGTGATATGAGGCTTACTATGTGGGTACCAAATAATATACATGGACTGTATTACATAATACATGTGTTTCATTAAAATCTATGTGATTTTAGTATTTTAGGTTTCAGAACATGAATTATATTTCCAATATCACCTCATAAATTTATAAACGAGGCCATGTTATATTACCCAGATGCTCTTTTTTTCAAAATGTGAAGTCTACTAACAATACACTCCTTTTAGTGTACATCTTTAAAATTTTGACAATGTAGCCCTTCTCAAAGTATGTTGAGGGTAACTGACTAATGACATATGCATTTTATGAGTAAAAAAAAATCCAATCCCTTTTAGAAAATATTTTTGGAAAAGTCCAAGTAAAATTAGAGGTAAGTACTCTTTCTCCTAAATGACCTCTAAATATCTACAATCAAAATTTGCAATGCTCAGATTCAAACTTAAGAAAATAGTAGCATTTCTGTCATGGAAATGTAATGTAGATTAACCAAATGTTATATGCATATATATATGCGTGTGTGTGTGTATATATATATATATAATATATATAATTTTTAATTTTTCCCATCAATTAATAATTACTGAAACATTTTACATTTAAAACATTTACACATTTATATACATACATTTCTATAAATATACATTTTCCAAGAGTAAACAGTAATATTTTAGTGAAATAAATATTAATATTTTGAGGAAAAACTACTTTTAAAACTTTGATAAATTCATGGCTAATTGCCTTGTAGAAATACCACCAGTTTAAAATATCTTGAACAGTACATGGGAGATTATTTCTCTATACTCTCACCCAATTAGAACAGCATACATTTTAAAACCATTGCAACCTGATAAGTGAAAAATACTACAGCATATCATTAATTCACAATTATTTTATTACTGTTTCATGTGACCATCTTTCATCTATTTATAGTTTTTTTCTTCATTACTTCTCTCTCTTGCTATACATTAAATAACATGCATTTAATGCCCAGCTCCAGTCCATCTTTAGAATAGTCTAGGGACACAATAAGAAATAGAACACAGAGTATGCAATTGTAAGGCAGCAAGAATTCCCTTATACACTAGCAGTTAGAATCAGATGTTCATGTGTTTCCTTCACCAGGCTAATAGTATACATTTGGCAATGGACCTGAAATTCACTCCTTCTGACTGGCAGATCACCACACATGAAGCATTATACAAACGGTCGCTGACTTACAATGGTACTACTTAATGATTTTCAAACTACCATGATGTGAAGGCAATAGCTATCAGCAGAAAGCAGTAGTATGCTTTCTGGTGATGCTGGGCCAGTCAGCCAAGTGATTTGGAGAGTACACTGTATACTCTGGAGAGTATACTGTGTTGCCAGATGATTTTACCCAACTGTAGCATAGTATGAGTGTTTAAGGTAGGTTAGGCTAGCTATGATGTTCAGTAGATAGGTGTACTACATGCATTTTTGACTTACTGTATCTTTCACTTAGTGTGGGTTTGTTGTGACATAATCTCATCATAAGCCTAGGAGCATCTGTATACAAAACTTCAAGTATGCTTCAGCAAGGAACTACAGGGGCATTAAAGAGCTTCTTTTATTATTTTTAATACAGATTTTTAATCGAGTTTTTTTCTATTTCTACTATAGATCAAAATGAAAAAAAATTCAACTAAATTGTCATGCTTGTCCATTTTCATACTTGGACTCGTTCTTTGTCATCTGGCCTAGCCTTCACTTTTCTGGCAACAGAACTTGTATTTTTTTTGGAGAAATAATTGTTTTATTCAATATTTTAAGGTTCTGCAGAGTGAAGGATACTTAAGCTATGTTGTTGCAGACAGCAAAGCTTTGACAAGTGAGAAAACATTAATAGAAAATAAATTAACTAAAAATAATGTAGAACTCTCTAATAATTAGAAAGAGGCACTGTAGATAGATGCACTGAATTAGAAATATTCCATTGTTCCCCATTGGTTAGGAGAATGAACTAGATAACATTTTTTTAATACTATAAGTTCTAGGGTACATTTGCAAAACGTGCACAATGTGCAGGTTTGTTACGTAAGTACGCATGAGCCATGATGGTTTGCTGCACCCATCAACTCGTCATTTACATTAGATATTTCTCCTAATGCTATCCTTTCCCCAGCCCCCCACCCCCCAACAGGCCCCACTGTGATGTTCCCCGCCCTGTGTCCAAGTATTCTCTTTGTTCAATTCTCACCTATGAGTGAGAACATGCGGTATTTGGTTTTCTGTCCTTGTGATAGTTTGCTTAGAATGATGGTTTCCAGCTTCATCCATGTCCCTGCAAAGGACATGAACTCATCCTTTTTTATGGCTATATAGTATTCCATGGTGTATATGTGCCACATTTTCTTAATCGGGTCTATCATTGATGAACATTTGGGTTGGTTCCATGTCTTTGCTATTGTGAATAGTGCGGCAATAAACATACATGTGCATATGTCTTTATAGTAAGCATGATTTACAATCCTTTGGGTATTTTCTTTGATAAGTCAGACTTCCTGGCTCATTCAGGCCACTTGGCTTGGGTGAACTGATGCCATATACAAGGATTCGTGTTACCAATGCTTGATGAATCAGAGAACTCATTTTTTTTTAAGTTCCAGAATACATGTGCAGAATGTGCAGGTTTGTTACATAGGTATACATGTGCCATGGTGGTTTGCTGTACCTATCAACCTGCCATCTAGTTTTTAAGCCCCTCATGCATTAATATTTGTCCTAATGTTCTCCCTTCCCTTGCCCCCTGTTCCCTGACAGGCCCCGGTGTGTGTTGCTCCCCTCCCTGTGTCCGGAGAACTCATTTTCTACTTCTGTAATTAGTCCACAATTGGCACATGGCCCAATCAGAGCAAATTACAGCTTATTTTATATTTTGCTGATGGAAAGCCCTTTTACTTTTGGAATAGCTTTAAAAAAGGTGGGGGGATGTACCCCTGATACTGCCAGAAGTCTCTTTGCCACCATGGCAAATGACCTTGTCTGAAGATGAAGCCAACATATAGGAAAACAGAACTAAGGGATGGAGAAAAAGTTCAGATATCATAGCTTAAACAGTTGAATCCAGCTATACATAGGTTTTCCAGTTAAATGAACAAATACGCCCCCTTTCTATTCAAGCTAATTTGTATTGGGTTTTTTGATGTCAATGCAGAAAGATTCTTGACTACTGCAATTATTCGTGTTGTCTCTTTTTCTTTTGGAGTGTGCATTTTAAAATAGATTTATAAGAACTTTATTTACTTTGAAAATATGAATACTTTTTATGTAAACATTTTTTTCAGATTACTATTTTTCTTTTAATTGTGTTTATGATGTTTTTGTCACAGAATTTTGATAATTTTATATTTTTCTTACTTTATGTATTTCAGTCTAACCTTTATGGTTTCTTCCTCAGGTAACTACAGATTTATAAAATCATACTACACTTACTAATTTCACCCATTTTCTAAAAATTCCCATCTGCAACACATACTAAATTCTGTCACTTTCAGGAGTCTCCCTTTTTTGTTTCACTGCTTTCTCTGTCTTTTAATATATTACCACACTTATTTTGATTATTTTAACTTTTTGATATATTATAATGGCATTGTTTTTTATTTCTCCATAATTTTCCTGGCTGTTACTGCCTTTTTATTGTCTCAGTAGTATGCCAGCAGAATTTTAGAATAATTTTATCATATTTTCTAAAATAATATTTGAATTTAGGTTAAAGTTGTACTAAATATGTAAACTAGTTGATAAGAATGTCTTTTAATTTTTATTCAAGGAACTCCATAATATTTTCTCTCGTAAATTTATTTTTTATTATATTGTCTTACTATTTATGTGAATAGATTGGAAAACTATGGGTTTTGGTATATTTCTTTCTATAAGACATTAGTTATCTCATACCAGTTTTAATAGTTATATAACTAAATCTTTTGGAACTTATTTGCAGACAGTTGCATTCCTGTAAACCTTAATAATTTTGACTCAAAATCCTTTTATTTCTTTTGTGAATTGGCTAATATTTCCAATAAAATGTTAAATAGTAATGGTAATAGACATGATTTTTTATTTCTAATGTTAATAGAAATTTTCTAGTTTCAAGTAATATTGTGATGACTGTAAGTGTATGTGTATATGTGTGTTTGTATGCACACATACAGATTAAATTCACATTTATATAGTTCAATTGACAAGGGAAGTCTTAGGTCAGAGCTGCAAATACGATTTTCTATAGGTTACAGATATGTAGCTAAAAGCTATGTGGGCACCGTGGCAAACTGGAGAATACACTGCTTACTTGAAGAAGTAACCACTATCCAATAGTGAAATAATCAGATATTCTAATTAGACCAGAAGCTATAGTTCTCATGTTTTAAATGTTGGCAAATCTATATGAATAGATGAGATAATGCTGTAGTAACAAACAATTTGAAAATTGTAATGGCTTACAGCAACAAAATGTATTTCTTGTCCATCCTACATGGCCATCACAGGTTACCTGCAGCTCTGCTGCTTGTGTGCTCCATGTCATAATCACTCCAGGCTGATTGAGTTGCATCAGAGAAAAGAGAATGTGGCAAAGAATCCAGTGGTTGTTAAAACCAAGATATGTCAATAACACTTCACATGACAAAACAGTCATATGGCCAATACTAATGTCTTGGTTGGGAAAATATAATTCTTTCCCAGAGTGGAGAAGAGAAAAGCAACTAATTCAACTTAATAGCAAGTAATTTATAACGTATGTGAATACAAGTGGGAAAAACAAAACCTGTCAGCAGAGAGCTTTTGCTTGTGGACCACCATTTTGCAAACTTCATTTCAGGTTCTTTAATTCTCAACTCTGGTTCTAAAATCATATGATTAATGGGTCTCAAATTCACTGAACCAAAAAAAAAATACAGTTTATTGTAGCTATAAGCCTTCCAATATCCTTTGGAAAATAGCAGAAACAGAACTCCAAAATAGCCTTTGGCGGCCTTGTGGAAGAATTGTTGAACTATAAATCTTGAGTGACCATTTAACAAAAACTAGAATTAAAATTCATTCCTTGAAGTAAAGACAAACACTCAATCTCATTTTTTATTGTACAAATTTCTTAAATTTGTTTAAAAATCCAAATCACTAGGCTTCCATGGTGTATTTATTTCTAGCCATAATGTAGAACACAGTCATTCATTTTAAGATCTGCATCCCAAATCAAATTATGACCTCAAAAATAACAAGCACATTTCCATAAAATAAAATCCATTAACTTTTCTGTCAATAATTTCTTCTTAAATGTTCGATTGATCTTGCCAAGGTATTTCTCATTGTCTGAAAGTGTTTCTTGAACCAATATAATGTTTTTTAAAGATTACATAAGTTACACCAATAGACAAAGAGAAGCTTTGCTTATATCTCTTTTCAAAGAGGGACCTGTCAGAGATGCAGAGTGGTGTCAGGGGACTGAGTGCAGCTCTCAGGTCCTTCAGCATTGCCTTAGCGGCAGAAAACCACCTCACCCAAGGTTATGTTCCTTCCACAGCTGCCTATATCCAATGACTGATTGATATGGGGTATATCAATCATCCCATATATGGGCGTAGAAAAAAACTCACAAACTTAGCCCAACTTGAAACAACTCTGATGGGCTTCGTCAGCTCCAGAGCTCCTTCATAAAAATTCCAATCAAATTTTTAAACTCTAACATGATTAATTTTTTTTTAGGAAAGTGAGAAACTGTTTTTATTAGTAGGAACTTTACATAGTATCTTTGATACTATGGTAAGAGTTATTTAAAAGGTTTAACTTCACCTATTGATTTTATTATCTTATATTTTGGTTTTATTTCACTACAAATATTATATATTGTTATATATTGACTATATTTTGTGATTCAGTTTGTATTCATGAGAGATTCCTGCATTGTTTTGTGGACAAATATTTCACTGTTGTATTGGCCAAATTTTTCAAATATGTGCCATAGATCACAAAGATCACAATGGTGATCTGAATGGTGAGAGGAATGAGGTAGGTGAGTTGGAAAGAGGGCAGAAAAGAACTAGTTTTATTCTGGTTGTTATCATAAATTTTTTAACACTATTGGCTTTTTAAAATAATTTTCTCGGAATTCTTGGGTAAATATAGAAACAATGTAATTTAAAAGGGAAAGAAAAATAGGCAATAAAATGTAGGAGAAAATGCTGCTTACTAAACACTTTAATGTTCTAGGCATTGAGCTGAATATTTATCTTACCTACTCTTCCCAGAAACCAAGATCTATCTCATTTGCTTAAGGTAACTTAGCAAAATAAGACTCAGCTTTTGTTCCAAGCAATTTGTCTCCAGAGAGCCGATAGTAGGCATCACTGCAAGTCCCTCTCTTGAACCAAAAGATTGGTACAGGAAATGATTGCTATGGAAATGCAGGCATGAGATGAATTGCGATAGATGCTAAGATGGATTAAAACTTAGAGTTGCCTCTTTAAGTTTTGATGTGAATTTTTAATAAGGAAGGATGTCGGGGGGAATATTCAGTACACTGCACACGGTTGTCAGTCAGTAGGCCCAGAGTGAGCAAGATTGTGGAGATAAAAATAATGCAAGGCAAATATTCTACCCTAAATTATTGATTTATTTTAACATGCACATTTTTTAAAAGGCAGTAGTCTTGATCTATGATGCACACACTCATTCGACCCTCAAAGAAAAAAAAAGTCATTCCCACAGCCTATGTGTAACATACTAAGTCAAATGCCAAAGGACTTTCTTTGGCATATCCATGAATTATTTATTTAGCTCTTCTTGTTTATGCTATCCTTGGGCAACAAAAATGTTTGAATACTACTCCCACGTGTTTTCAACCTTGCGTGACCATATGCCTGCTGTCAGGCAGGAACTGTGCCTTTTTTCCACTAAACAATGAGCCTCCATTGCCTGGCAAAAACCTGTCACAAGTAGGTGTAAATATTCTGAAGTAATTAATAAATGATTATTTGATATGACACTGAGAAAAATTTTCCATGTATATTTCCCATTACATATTTGTCGCTAGTTCCTACTGAAGAGTGTTAATGTTCTCCCTCGGAAATGGTAAATGACGGTTTAAATTACCTGAGACGAAGAAGAATTGTAATTGTATCAGGGTCTTTTCAGTGAATAAATTATGATGTATATAGAAATTTCTCCTAAAGCCTTTCAGTGGTTCTAATATTACCATAAATGACTACAATAGGGTGTGTACCTTTAGCAATTCATTTGAATCCTAAATTGAATAAATGACAAAGTCTATTTTTTTGTTCAAGAGAATATGACAGAAACTTGCACTATTTTACAAATGTCCAAACTAGAGACTATAAATATACCATTCTGCTTTGCTTTCTTGCAACTTCAATACAATTGATATTTTTATTTATTTCATTTTATAGTGATTGGCATGAGTCTTTAAAAGTTTTCCAGCCAAAATTAATGGCTATTTCTTCAAATTAATTGCACCACTTCTATTAACACATCATTCTCTACAAAGTATATAAAAAGTCTTTTAATGCCAAGAATGCAAACATAGCATAATATGCTGTGTGTTAATGACACCAGTTATATATAAAATACATGGTAAGAAAAAAACTTGTCAGACTAATTTTAAAAATAGAGCTTTTTTCTTATAAATTATGAGGTACACAAGATTACAAGAAAAATATTGCTGAATATTTTTTATTTGTCAGTGTTCCCTGATGAAATCTCATTATAAAAAGTCAGATTTTTCACCTTCCAGAACTTCCATGTGGTTTCTAAAATAGTCAATCTGGAAATATCTGTGAGCACTTATTTCCAATTTTAAGTTCACGGGAATGAGACTAGAAATTGGCCCAAATGTATGTTCATTTTTACACTGCTGCAAAATTAAATCATTACTTTTAAATCTTATAATTGAAGCATGCATATCTTCTTGCCTTAGAAATATTTTAAATACTTGAAAGCTACAGTAACATAATAATCCAATTTGAAACATATTTATTTTTTCCAAATCCATTTAACTCTATTAATTTTATATTTTTCTACAATCTTTGAAAATATTATTTCTCACTTATGAGTAGTGGTATTACATTATAATATTTTCTGTAGATATTTAATGACCAGATACATTTTTTAAAATGTTTAAATCATTTATAAATTTGAAGGGAAATAACGTTTATACTTTTAATAATTCCACAGCAAATCACCATTGAGAATTGGGAAATTAATTGATCTAGAAATATACATATAAATTCTGAGAAGGTTGTTAAAACCCATCATTCCTGGAACAAGGAAAATAACATATGATGAATCAGAGTGAGCTTTGAAAGCAGCCACAACAGGACTTGGATGTTACCAGCTATGGAACCTTGAGAAAATTCCTATTCCTTTACCGTCATTTTTTAATTCGGGAAAATAAGGAATACTGATAAGACCTACTAAAGTGGTCTATCATTAAAGTTAGATTACCTAACACATGCACTTAGGCATATTAGTCCTTCAAACCGTTGGTTTGTTTGCTTTTCCTTTCTTCCCCGTCCTGTTTCCTTATTGGGAATATGATAGTGGTTAAGAGCATGAGCTCTGTGTTAGAATATTTGGATTTAAATGTAGCTCAGCCATTTAACAGCTATAATAACTGTCAAAACATTTTCAACCCTTCTGTGCTTCAGTTTTTCCATCTGTAAGTTGGAGATGGCAACAGACAGTACTTAATTCATGGAGTTTTCTGAGTATCAAATGAGTTAATACATTAATGGGTAATGCTTGATCCATAGTAAAAGTTAAAGTTTTAGATATTCTTGACACCTAGAAATAGAGGGTCTTATTTCCCAATAGTGTTTACCAAGGACAACGTATTTTTCCATACCTGTAGTGGGAATGAATAGTGTTCCTCCCATAAATGTATATCCACCCAGGACTTCTGAATGTGATCTTATTTGAAAATAGGATTTTTGCTGATATAATTAAGGTAAGGATGCAAATGAGAGCATACTAGATTAAGATACACCCTAACTCCAATGAGAGTGTCTTTGCAAGAGACAAAAAGGGGCACACAAGGACACAGAGAAGAACGTGATGTGAATATTGAGACAGAGATGAGTCCACAAGCCAAGCTACGCTAAGTGCTGATGACCACCAGAAGCTAAGAGAGTGGCACTGCACAGTTTCTACCTTGGAGCCTCCAGAAAGAATCAACCTTGCTGACATCTTAATTTGGGGCTTCTGGCCTCCTGAACTTTGAGGGAATACATTTCAGTTGTTCTAAACCACACAGTTTATAAAAATTTGTTATGCTATCACTAGAAAATGAATATAATTTCCTATGTATTTTACCATATAGAAAAAATATGTAAGATGAATGTTATTACTAGGGATTTCATATTAATTTGGTGATGATGGAGTCTGATGTAGGCAAGCATAAGAGGATCAAGGATTTGGCAGCTCTACCTTTTTATACCAAGGCCTGTATAAGTTAGAGAGCAATGCTAAAAAAGAATCAGCTTCGCCGGGTGCAATGGCTCACTCCTGTAATCCCAGCAGTTTGGGAGGCCGAGGCAGGTGGATCACTTGAGGCCAGGAGTTCGAGACCAGCCTTCCCAACATGGTGAAACCCCATCTCTACTAAAAATACAAAAATTAGCCGGGCATGGTGGCAGGCGCCTGTAATCCCAGCTACTCAGGAGGCTGAGGCAGGAGAATGGATTGAACCTGGGAGGTGGAGGTTGCAGTGAGCCAAGATCACGCCATTCCCCTCCAGCCTGGGTGACAAGAACGAAACTCTGTCTCCAAAAAAAAAAAAAAAAAATCAGCTTCATGGCAGTGATCATCTCCCTTGGAATAGACAGATTCTCATTTCTGAGGCATTGTAAACACTGCTGCTCAATGCATTGGGTAAGATTCCATTTAGGAGCATCACTCTCTGAAATCCAAGAATATTCCCATTTAGAAGGGTTTGAATGAATCTAATCTAAAGCCCACCAATTTTTTTACACTATAGTAAATAAGTGTAAAACATTGTCAACAACATACTTTCTCAAAGCACATGTAATAAGCCCCAAATAAGAAATGAATCAACACAATTATTATGTACAATACTATTTTGTGTTTGAGATCAAAACACCAAAGGTAATTTTATATGTTCTTTAGAGACTAGAAAGATCTCCACTTCAATCAGTGCCAGGAACAGTCTGGGTTTCCCATTTTCCCCTATAAAGATTTACAAATTAAACTACACAATTCTGGATCACAAATTAATAAAGTCAAAGCTGAATATGCAACCTACTATTTGTTTCAATATTTTGCGTCTTTTCACAAATGTAAAGATGGAGGAATTTAAAGATATTTTAACATTTTAACATCATAGTATTCAAAGTACTACATAAGACTTTTTAAGGAAAAAAAACCTGAAACTTTGTTCCAAAGTGGATGGAATTAATTAGTTAGATTTCTGAGTGATTATTGCATTTAATGGGAAATTTGTATTTTAGAATTGGAACATGTTAAAATTATGTCAGTTTTCATCTCAATTACAGCATTCTAGGAAAGGGAATTCAAAAATCATTAGGACAGCTGTATCTTAATAGAAGGGATTTGGATTTATTTTAGAGATCATTTGATGTCTTTGCATATGTTACATCTGCCCAAGATTACATTTAGGTGCTTATTTGACAAATAATCAACAATTTGCCTGCATGACTGCAATATTTTTAAATGACAATATAAATAAAATACATTAAATCATAGCACTAATAACTAGCATCAGTAACTGGCATGAGACTCTTAATCATAATTGCTCTGTTTCAGAAAATTAGTTTCCATACAAATCAATCCTAAATATAGGTGATTAAAAGTGAAGTGAACTGTGTGTGAAATAGTCTTCTGCTAATTGAATAAAATAAAATGTGCCATAAATAAACCTTAATATATAAAATATAAAGTAAACAGATAAACTAGAAATCGTGTGTTTTACCAAGGAGCACAACCCAACAACAGGTCCTATTGCATATGTAAGAGAATAAGGTTTAAGTTTTCTTGAGTGATTCTGGTGGCACACACAGAAAAATAGACTATGTGAAAGAAGTGCAAACTTTATGAAAGACCTATTATACAGGTATTCTTTCTGCAAGAGTGAAAAATGATAACTTTAAAACACTAATCTGAATGATATCATAACACTTAAAAATTGTGAAACTAGAGGAATGAATTCTGCAAGTGCTGGAGCTTATGCCTGATCTGTTTGGCATTAATTTTTTTATCATAAACACCCTTTATGTAAGAACATTCTTTAAGTTATGAGTCCATATGTTGAACTTAACTACAGTAGCTATTGAAGTGGAAGTGGAAGTCAACCTGTGACAGCTGCAAATGATTAACTTATCCACAGTTCAAGATTGATAAATTTTGAAAGATTAAATGTCTATATTAATACCTATTTCTGAGACTATTGTATTGAATTACTTTATTTAAACATGTGCATGAATTTTCTCCAATGCAGTATTTAACATATGTAAGTACAATATAGCAAGAAAAATAAACTATGCATATACATAAGAGATACATTCCTTTGTATTTCACATAACAACCTAATAGTTCATATTTCCCAAATAAAATAGTTGCTTAATCATTTTAAACTTTGGCATATTTCAACCTATTGCTCCAAAAAAGTAGAGAAAATCCCCAAAACAACATGATATTGATGTGACCCTTTCAATCTATACATTATATAAGCATGGAAACTAATGGTATTTAATGGTTGATATGGTTTGGCTGTGTCCCCATCCAAATCTCATCTTGAACTGTAGCTCCCATAATTTCCACATGTCATGGAAGGGACCCAGTGGCAGGTAACTGAATCATATGGTCAGGTTTCTCCCATGCTGTTCTCATGATAGTGAATAAGTCTCATAAGATCTGACGGTTTTATAAAGGGGAGTTCCCCTACACAAGCTCTCTTGCCTGCCACCGTGTAAGATGTGTCTTTGCTTCTCTTTTGCCTTCTGCCATGATTTTGAAGGCTCCCTAGCTAGATGGAACTGTGAGTCCATTAAACCTCTTTCCTTTATAAATTACCCAGTCTCAGGTATGTCTTTATTAGCATGTGAGAAGAGACTAATACAATGGTCTTTTAGAGATTTAATATCTTAGAAGATTTCAGGTAGGTGATCTAATGTGATTACAGGGTAGCATGTGACGTTTCAGAGTTAAGACAGAACGTTGAACCTTCTGGGCACCAGCAGGCAGGAAGATAGCAGGTAGGCCATATTTCTACTCAAATGATAGAGCACCTGGTTTACAGATTTGTCTGCAGACCTAGAGACAATCATCTGATCTAGCACAGTTCCTGGGCCCTAGCCCTCTGCCACACCTATGGGACCACTTTCAGAAAAGAGGCCCAGTAGTCCTTCATATTCCCTACATCCAGTGCTTTCTCCTTTTTCTTTCCCAAGCCCACTATCTCTTTATTTGTGTTCTTTCTGTCTCCTTGTTAGGCTGTAAAGACCTACCTAAAAGTTCATTCTGGTGCTATACTAGAATGGTGGGATTTTATGATCCATTGGAAAAGCCATATTGAACCCTATTCTTAGCAACAACAACAAAATGGGTTGCTACTCCTTGAAGATCAATAATACCAGTCACTAGTAAGAAGACCTCTTTTTCCTCAAAGGAATATAATAGAAACTCCTATTTCTTCCTAGTGACTTATTTGCTAAGTCACCTTTGCTGACTATGCAGTCCCGCACCATCACAAATATAAGCAAAAAGGTTTCTTATTCTAGCAGAAAAAAAAACCTCACAGATGTGCATCCATGCCTATATCATATTTTAATTTTTCAGGGGACTTCTCCATTATCTAAGAATTCTCTGCCTCCCTACAAAAAACTACTTAATTTCTATAAAACCGAATTGAAAAACTCATTCAATCTCTTGCCAATGATGGCCTCTTTATTCTTTCCCTTCATCCACCTGGGAAAACTCCAATTAATGATGTCCAGTTGTATGCTTTTTGAGATACTTACCATTTTGGAAAAATTTCATGTGTCAAAAGATTTTGCTAGATGCCCATGGACTTCAAGCCAAGCTTCCCCCTCAACCCTGTACAGAAATGCATGTGGGGGTTCCTAGTCACCTCCTTCTTCATTGTCTACAATAACTATTTCAAACCTTCAAAGTTTTCCTAAAAACATGCATTCTCAGCCGGGCACAGTGGCTCACACCTGTAATCCCAGCACTTTGGGAGGCCGAGGTGGGAGGATCACCTACGGTCAGGAGTTCGAGACCAGCCTGGCCAACATGGCGAAACCCCGTCCCTACTAAAAAATAAAAATAAAAATAAATAATAATAAAAAAAAGTATATACAAAAATTAGCCAGGCGTGGTGGTGGGCACCTGTAGTCCCAGCTACTTGGGAGGCTGAGGCAGGAGAATCGTTTGAACCTGGGAGGCAGAGGTTGCAATGAGCTGAGATCACACCACTGCACTCCAGCCTGGGTGACAGAGCAAGACTCCATCAAAAAACAAAAAAACAAAAAAAAAACCACCATGCAATCTCAGTACTTCACTTACTTCCTCTTGTCAGGTGATTTCAACTACCATGTCACAGAATAGAAACGGAACTCTCCCTATTCCTCACTCTATTCATACCCCCACAGGTCTCCTTTCTATTCCACTCCTTGAAGTTCAGTCTGCTCAGACATTATTTTCTTGATAAGGCTAAACTTTGTCTATTCCTTTTAAAATTGAAAGCTTTGTTTGTCTTTTTTTTTTTTTATGGAGTCTTGTTTTGTCACCCAGTCTGGAGTGCTGGTCTCAAACTCCTGACCTCAGGTGATTCTCCCACCTCAGCCTCCAAGGTGCTGGGATTACAGGTGTGAGCCACTGCACGTGGCCTTATCCTCAATTGATAATCACCCTTTCTCAGCTCTGTATTGCTCTGTAGCACTCATCACCATATAACATACTATATAACTTAATAATGATATTTATTATTTTCTGTCTTCCTCATTTGAATATAGGTATTATGAAACTGGTATTTATTAGCTTGCTTTGTGCACCAAGTTCCCCAATTCTAGACATAGTAAACACTCAATAAATACTTGTAAAATTAAATTTTAATATAGTTTTTAAGTTATAAAATAATTAAAGTACTGCTAATATGTTTTTAGTTAAAAAGGAAACTACAGGAAAGAAAATTATAATACTCAAAATACTTATTTAAAAATGGCCAAGTGGCCTGCTCTGGTGGCTCATGCCTGAAATCCCACCACCTTGGGAGGCTGAGGTTGGTGGATCATTTGAGGTCAAGAGTTGGAAACCAGCCTGGCCAAGATGGTGAAACCCCGTCTCTACTAAAAACACAAAAATTATTTGGGTGTGGCGGCACGCACCTATAATCCCAGCTACTCCAGAAGCTGAGGCAGGAGAATCACTTGAACCCGGGAGGTGGAGGTTGCAGTGAGCCTAGGCAACAGAGCAAGACTCCATCAAAAAAAAAAAAAAAAAAAAAAAAAGTCAAGAAAAAACTACATCTCGAGAGTGTAGAACATAACTAAATGAATATGAATACTCAGAATGAAATTTATAATCATAAAAGTTAAAAAAGATCAAAATGATGTCCTTTGCAGTAACATGTATAGTGCTGGAGCTAGAGGCCATTATCTTAAGAGAATTTATGCAGGAATAGAAAACCAAATACTGCATCACTTAAAAGCAGGAGCTAAACATTGAGTACACATGAACACAAAGAAAGGAGCATTAGACACCAAGGCCTACTTGAGGGTGGAGGGTGAGAGGAGGGTAAGGATCAAAAAACTACCCATCAGGTACTATGCTATTACCTCGGTGAAGAAACAATCTGTAAACCATACCCCTAAGACATACAATTTAGCCCTGTAACAAACCTGCACATGTTACCCCCTGAACCTAAAATTAAAGTTGGGGAAAAAAATAAAAATGAAAGTTTATGTCAGAAAACAGAAAACTCAAAACAAACAATACCTCATGGGCATTCCAATTAAGAAGTTATGAAGGAAAGTAATAAAAATAGAGTCATAGAAACAATGTAAAAGGAAATGGCTAAGAAAAGGAGCACAGAAAAGGAGCACAACACACAGAGATGACAAAAGTCTTTGAAAAACTAGATAAAACATACAATATACAGCAATAATGATCAAAATGAAAAGGCAGATGATCACAAGATACAAGCTACATTACAAAAGGGAGAATATCTCTAGATAATAAAAATTAAAATGCTCAAAGACATAAAAGTGATTACAAACATTCATAGGTATCCATGGAGTATTGGTTCCAGGACCTACACAGATGCCAAAATCCACACATACTCAAGTCCCACAGTCTGCTCTGCAGAACACTAGGACAGGAAAAATTGTCCCTTCACATAGGTGGGTTTAGCTTTCTGTGATTACTGTTGATCTGCATTTGGTTGCAAACTGGGAATGCACCAATACAAAGAGCCAACTGCATTTATTGAGAAAACTCACATATAAGTGGACCTGCACTGCTTGAACCTGTGTTGTTCAAAGGCCAACTGCATCTGCCAATAAATTCCATAATCTAGATAATGTAGATAAGGTCCTAGAAAACATAAGTTCAGTATTGGCACAAAAAGAAATAAGAAACTTTGAGTAGACCAGTGTCTTAAAAAACATGGGAAGAGAAATCAACATCTACCTATAAAAAGCTTTCCAAAGCCCCAGTTTTCCAATGACATTTATCAAACATTTAATGAATAAATGATCTTCAATATATTCATGATAATATGAAAAACAGAAAGGATAAAAAAGTTATTCAACATAGTCTTTTGATCTAATTTAATTCTTGCTCCCTCACCCAGGCTGGGGTGCAATGGCATGATCTCAGCTCACTGCAGCCTCCACCTCCCGGGGTCAAGCAATTCTCTGGCCTCAGCCCTGCAAATGGCTGGGATTACAGGCCTGCACCACTACACCCAGCTCATTTTTGTATTTTTAGTAGAGACGTGGTTTCGCCATGTTGGTCAAGCTGGTCTTGAACTCCTGACTTCAGGTGATCCTCAGGCGTCCCAAAGTGCTGGGATTACAGGCATGAGCCACTGCACCCAGCCCAATTTAATTCTGATTCCACAACTATTTAAAAACATAAGAAAGTGGTGGGTAGATTTCATTCGTAAACATAATACAGAAATCCTTAATAAAATACTAGCTAAGTAAAACAGTATATTAAAAACAATGCATTATCTTCAAGTAGGGCTTATCCCATAAATAAAAATATTTCTAAAACATTCAATATAATCGAGTACATTAAAAGATTAAATGGCAGGGGGAAGCAGTTGATAAACTTCCACACCTGTTTATGGTTAAAAAATATACTAGGAATGGCCGGGCGTGGTGGCTCACTCCTGTAATCCCACCACTTTAGGAGGCTGGGGCAGGTGGATCACCTGAGGTCAGGAGTTCTAGACCAGCCTGGCCAACATGGTGAAACCCTGTCTCTACTTAAAATACAAAAATTAACCAGGCGTGGTGGCAGGCGCCTGTAATTCCAGCTACTTGGGGGGCTGAGGCAGGAGAATTGCTTGAACCCGGGAGGCAGAGGTTGCAGTGAGCTGAGATCACACCATCACACTCCAGCCTGGGGGACAAGAGTGAGACTTTGTCTCAAAAAAAAGAAAAAAATATATATATGGAATATAGAAATACAAGGCAACTACCATAAATAATAGCAACTATTACTTTAACTTAAAAAATTGGGAGTCATTAAATTCAGGATCTGAGTAACTATGCTATTTGTTTAGCATGGTATTAGAGTTTCTCATTAATATTGCAAGACAAGAAAATGGCAGGTTTATACATTGGAAGGGAGATATAATACTGTCATTGTTGCATGGTCACCTACACAGAAACAACCCCCCCACAAATAATGAGTAAGAATGTCCAGAAATATTCACCAATACTAGACCAACTTACGAAAACTAATAACTCACCTCTACACTAGCAATAGCAAATGTGAGATTATAATAAAAGCAAAGATACATTCACAAACTTCCTAATAGAAAATACAGAAAATGTTGGCCCCTTACATATTAAAGAATGACAAATTTTAAAGAGATGATAATAGCAAGTGTTATCAAGAATTTAGAGTACTCTTAGAAGTACTTAGCAAACTTATATGCAGATGCCTAAAGACCCAGTGATCCCACTCTTTAAGTATCCATATCCTATGAGTTACAAGCAGGGTTATGCTCTGGTAACAAATATTTTCAAAATCTCAGTGACTTAAACCAACACAGATTTATTCTTATACTACACGCCCATGATGGGTCTTGTGGAGGGCTTTCTGGGTATGGTCCTCATATCTGCACATAGACTGACAGAGAACTACATCTGTGATATTGCTGGTTATTGTGACAGACAAAAAGAGCATTATGGAGGATCTCACACTAACAATTCTATAGTTGAGCCAGAATTGATGGATATCCCCTCTGTCACATGATATCACACTATCATTTGACCAAAAGGCAGAGACTCAGAGACATTTCATGAGCAGAATTAATGGTAACCACAGTTTGCTCTTCTGGTCATTTGGCTCACTCTCCCTCCTTCAGCCAAACTACATTCAGTCCCAAAGTCTCATCTGGTCAGAGCATCAAGCTAGAAGCATAGTAACTCTGGACAATGTGTGATAGTCTCTATACCAAGTCCAGATGCATCTCCTCTCCATCCAGAGAAATACAAACTACAAGCCATCTGCCTCCCATGCTGCCAGTATACCCTAGTGGAGCAAGGTCAGCAGAGTCACAGTAATTGCTCCTCTTCACAAAAATGGGAGAAAGAGAAATACATAGCAGTCATTGTTCTGTTGCAATTCTGAACTATATATGATGAACACATTAAAAGCTAGCAAAATAATAGCAAAATTCTCATATGATTTCACATGGGGACTGTACAATAAGTTTTTCAAGGCAATGTTCGTTGTTGTGGGAGTTGGAAGCACCTACAGGAATTCATTGGGAAAATGAAAAAGTAAAACATAGTTAGTTGCCCACTAGGAAAACAATGCTGTATAAGGAACTAAATACATGACAGAAACATAAATATACCTCAAAAACAGTGTTCAATGAATAAAGCAGTAAAATAAATACAAAAATTTTAAAGGGACAGGCCAGGTAAAAATGGCTAATGCTTGTAATCCCAGCACTTTCAGAGGCTGAAGTCGGAGTATTTCTTGAGACTAGGAGTTCAAGACCAGCCTGGGAGACATAATAAGACCACATCTCTAAAAAAATAAAAGGAGGGAGAGAGAGAGAGAGAGAGAAATTACTGCATACTTTCCAATAATAAATGTTTAAGGACATAGAGCAAACATACAAAAGAAAATGCCTATGTAGGAAGTGGAATAAGAGAGAGATCATTGAGATAAACGATCTCTGTCTTATGAATGAGATCTCTCTCTCTTATGAATGAAATGATCTCTCTTATGAATGAAATGAAGTAGGTAAAATGAACCAAGGGCAGTCTTGCACTAATTGATAATGACAATGATTGGTGAGCTGAAATGCTGGTTTGCCTCAACTTTTAGCAACCAAAGGTGGTAATGAATACAAATTCATAAAGAATACATGAGCAACATAGTGGTATATAATAGGAGGCAAAATTAACTCACAGCAAAGCGTAAAACATTTTAAATAGATGTAGTGAATTGCATACACCAGCTAGTCACACAACACACTGAGATGAAATGTGACATATGAAATTTTGTTTACATCTTTGTGAAAACTTGATGCAAGCATACAGACATTTCATCAAATGGTCTTCAGTGCACTTTTATATTTATTATTGGATGATGCTGTTCAGGATTTCCTCCCTTGAAAATGAGTTCTGTAATTCAGCACACTCATCATTGTAGGAAAACAGCCTATATTGAGTTGTTCTTATTTGTCAGGTTTTTGGTTTTGCTTTATTTCATTGTCCTCAAAAAAGCAACAAGGCCTACATGGCTTGGCCAGACTTCCGAGTCATTTTAGAAAATAGACTTGCCTCTGAAATGAAAGCCTAACATCATTGACCAGGTCAGGTCCCACAACATAAGAGGTGTTTAAAATAGATAGAACTTAATTATACACATGAGAATTTGGTTTTAGTGCTCTGATTAGAACTGTCTGCTGGAAAATCTGAGACTGCAATATAAGAGAAAAGAAGCATACTAAGGTTGAGAAATTGTGCACTTGAATTATTTATATTTATGATTTCTCTGTCTCTCTACCTCCCTCCCTCCTTTGCCTTCCCTTTTCATTTGCATTTAAGTGACAATAGCCTGTAGAAGTCCCTGTTTAAATACAGTATCACAGCCTGGCATGGTGGCTCACACTTGTAATCCCAGCATTTTGGGAAGCCAAGGCAGAAGGATGCTTGAGGCCAGGGAGTTCAAGACTAGCCTGGGCAGCATAGTGAGACCTCCTTTCTACATAAAAAGTAAAGTTAGCTGGACATGGTGGCACATGCTTGTAGTTTCAGCTACTCAGGAGGCTGAGGTGAGAGGATCGCTTCAGCCCAGGAGTTTGAGATTGCAGTGAGCTATGATCACGCCACTGCACTCCAGCCTGGGGGAGAGAGTGAGACTCTGTCTCTAAAAAAAAAATAACAATTATAAAATAAATAAATAAACAGATAAGACCTTCAGATAAGACTGAACTTCTTAACAGGGAGGGTAACATCACACATCGGGTCCTGTTGGGGGAGGGGGGCAAGAGGAAGGAGAGCATTAGGACAAATACCTAATGCCTGCAGGGCTTAAAACCAAGATGATGGGCTGATAGGCACAGCAAACCACCATGGCACATGTATACCTATGTAACAAACCTGCACGTTCTGCACATGTATCCCAGAACTTAAAGTAAAATTTTAAACCAAAAATTAAAAATCAATGTTGATTAACAAATTATAAAATGAGATTTTGTGGTCAAGACAAGCTATATAGAAATTTAAGCACAGGTTAATAATAGCATGAAATTTTTCTAGACACAAAGGGATGACAATAGTTTTATCTTAATGAAATTATCTCCACAGTGCACACTATTTTCCTAAGAATATAAGCTAAGTATGTATAAAATTTGTGCATGGTATATACACTAGAATAATACACCAACTATTCTAATAAACATAAAAACCATGCCCTTTTGTAGTTGGAAAGCCATATGAGCTGAGTAAATTTTTTTTGAGATGGAGTCTCACTCTGTAACCCAGGCTGGAGTGCATTGACGTGATCTCGGCTTACTGAAACCTCCGCCTCCCAGGTTCAAGCGATTCTCCTGCCTCAGCCTCCCGAGTTGCTGGGATTATAGGCACCCACCACTACGCCCAGCTAATTTTTGTATTTTTAGTAGAGATGGGGTTTCACCATGTTGGCCAGGCTGGTCTCAAACTCCCGACTTCAGGTGATCCACCCGCCTCAGCCTCCCAAAGTGCTAACATTAGAGGTGTGAGCCACTGCACCTGGCCATAAATTTTTTTTAAAAGGAAAAATTTGGCCCAAAATTACCATTTACTTTGCAAAGTAAATACTTCATTCAACAAATCACTTTCTTACCTGTATTAGACTTTACAGGAAAACAAAACAAAATATACATATGTATATTTTCCTGCTCAGCTAGTTGAATGTTAAACGTTGAACCTGACATTCAATGTTGCTGAGTCGGACAAAATTCTCTTAGCTTATGTGTCCTAACTAATTCTTATGAAGAATATTTACTTCGTGTATGAGATTTTAAAATTCAGACCCAGAAACTAAGCTTGATTATATTCCTTGGATATGAAAAATAAGAATTCTTAGAATCCCTTACAGTTTAAGGATTTGTGAAGTAAAACCTGATTTTTCTTCAGATCTCTGAACCACATGACATCCAAATTATAGCTTTATATTTAAAGTCCTCTACATTGTGGGAGGGCATCAATGTCAACACGCATTAAGTTGGAAAACAACTAAACTCTACAATGCCCAAATCATCAACCTTCTTTTACACCCAGAGTACAGAAAAAGACAGCTATTTTCCAGCTCTCCCAACATGTTTGTTTTCCAAATTATCTACTTTAATTTCTAGTATATAATTTTAATAAGTAAATCTCTGTAGCAAACTTTTATCCAAATTTACAAAATAAAATTTGAGGTTTACCATTGTTAGACTCAGTGATTTTAGTAACTTTAGTAATTAAGTGACTTATTATCCACTCTTTTTAGAGATGGGATCTCATTCTGTCACCCAGGCTGGAATGCAGTGGCAAGAACATGGCTCACTGCAGCCTCCAACTCCTGGGCTCAAGCCATCCTCCTGTCTCATCCTCCCAGGTAACTAGAACCACAGGTGAGCACCACCACACCTGGCTAATTTTTAAAAATATTTTGTAGAAATTGGGTCTCACTATGTTGCCCATGCTGGTTTTGAACTCCTGGGCTCATGTGATCCTCCTGCCTTGTCATCCCAAAGTACTGGGATTATAGACATGAGTCACCATGCATGGCTTCTTCTCCTTTTTTTTTTTTTTTAAGATATTTACTGAATTTATTAAAATGAAATAAAAATGGCTTAGGAAAGTATTAATAATTGGAAAAAGACAATATTCACATAAAAATTCTTGTGGCCAGAGATGTAAAAATGGAGCTACTATGGCAGGTGTATAGAAGGTTAGAAGCCATTATTTCCTCCTCCCCTTCCATGAATGCAAATAGGATACTGATATGGTTTAGCTGTGTCTCCACTGAAATCTCATCTTGAATTGTAACTCCCACAATTCCCATGTGTCATGGGAGGGACCCAGTGGGAGTTAATTGAATCATGGGAGTGGGTCTTTCTCATGCCGTTCTCATGATAGTGAATAAGTCTCACGAGATCTGGTGGTTTTATAAAGAGGAATTCCCTTGCACAAGCTCTCTCTCTTTGTATGTTGCCATCCATGTAAGATGTGACTTGCTCCACCTTGCCTTCCACCATGATTGTGAGGCCTCCCCAGCCATGTGGAACTGTAAGTTCATTAGACTTCTTTCTTTTGTAAATTGCCCGGTCTCAGGTATGTCTTTATTAGCAGTGTGAAAACAGACTAATATAGATAACGCTTAAAAATATTACATATATATAAAATTTAATGAAAGATAGAATATTCTCATATCTGTTCTAAAACCCATCTTGTAAACACTTAGGAATATGTGCTGTAGTCAAGGAATTTCCTCTACAAATTAACATTATTTGTCAAATGCTAATATTCACAATATTAAATGAGAAAATACACTGTACTAAAATCAAAAGCATCTTGCTGCAAATATATTATTCATATTTATGCAACTTATTGGTAAAGTATGTTATTTTAAACAGGGTAAGAATAGCTCCCCAAGAAAAAATCCTGACAATATATAAAGCTGTATAGATTGCTTATTAAGTCGCCTGTTATTTTGCTTACAATAAATGAGAGAAAATAGAAAAAAAATAATTTCAATAAGTTTTATTTTGCCTCTGGCCATGACTCTAGAATTGATTTTTTTAAATGTATTGAGATGAAATTTATAAAATATAAAGTTAGTTAACCATTTCAGGAAGGACAATTTGGTGGTATTTAGGACATTTACAATATTGTACAATCACCACATCTATCTAGATTTAAATTATTTTCGTCACTTCAAAATAAAACTCTGTATCCATTAAGCAGTTTCTCCCTCTTGTCCCCTCCCCTTAGCCTCTGACAATCATGAATCTGTATTCTGTCTCTGAATTTACCTTATCCAGACATGTCTTATAAATGGAATCATAATGTGACCTTTTTTTGTATGACTTCTTTCATTTATCTTAATGTTTGTGAAGTTCTTCCACTGTTGTATCTGCATAAACACTTCATTTCTTTTTATGGCTGAATAATATTTTATTGTATGTATGTACCATAATTTGTTTAAGCATTTATCCATTGATGAATATTTGGGCTTTCCCCACCTTTTGGCTATTGTTCACAGAGCTGCTATGAACATGAGTGTACAAGCTTGTTTTTTTTTTGAGAATCTGTTTTCAAATATTTTAAGTATATACCTATGATTGAAACTGCTGGGTCTCATGCTAAGTCTATTTTTAACATTTTTAGTAAGTCCTTTTCCCTTTTGAAGCTAAAGATTTTTTAGCAGTCTTTCCTCATGACCACCAAAATTAAATATATATATTTAACAAAAGATAACATCTCTTAGAGTGAATACTTCATTTAGAGTAAAAATCATTTAGAGTAAATAATTTTCCTCTATAATTTAAAATTTGGTATATTACAATAAAAATGTTATTTTTAATCCTAATTTAGTCTTCATTTAACTTGGCCTTTCAAATGGCTTATCTCTTCCAATTTGAAAAGTTTCTAATCCATATTTGAAAAGGTCTAGTCCATATTTAGTTTCATTCAATATCCTGAAATTTTTGTGCTGCTATAACAGAATACCAAAGACTGAGTAACTTATAAGGAAAATAAATTTATTTCTCACAGTTCTAGAGGGTGTGAAGTCCAAGGTCAAGGCACCAGAAGGTTCGATCTCTTGCTCCAAGATGGTGCCTTGTTACTACATCCACCAGAGAAGAGGAATGGCTGTATCCTTACATAGCCAAAAAGCAGAAGAGAGGGAATCCACTCCTGCCAGCCCTTTTTATGGTTGTATTAATCTATTCATGAGGTTGAAGCCTCCATGACCTAAACACCTCCCATCAGGCCCTACCTTGCCATACTGTTGCACTGGGGATTAAGCTTCCAACACATCAATTAGGGGGAACATATTTAGACTTTAGTAACCCCTCATTTTAGTTTTAGTTGTTCAGAGATTCCCACTCTGTATGATGTACCTGTACAGACCCTTCTCATTATCTTACTTTATATGAAATAATTTCCTTAAAATAATAGAGAATGTTACCTGTTTTTTTAATTAGACTTATCGTGCAATTAAAATAACACTTGAAATATAGATTTATTATTGGTTAGGGAGAATTAATATTGATGTTAAATTTTATGATAAAACTATAGATCAGTGAAAATCTACTGTTATATTATATTTTTTTAATTTCAAGGATAATACATAATTTTATTGCCCTGGGGCTTATGATTTAAGTACTATATCTATATATGCCTCAGCGGTTATTCTAACTTCACTCCTCTCCAGTAAAAGTGTCTTTTTATTAAGTTCCATGAAGAGACCGATGCTGAAAGGCCTCCATGATATATTGTAAAGGGGTAAAAATGAGTAATCAAAACATGCATGTTACATTTTATGTAAAAAAGTGAGTATTAAAAATACATACTTATGTTCATTTGTGTATGCTTAAAGAAAGGAAGGACAAAAACAAGAATTATGTACAAGAACTAACGATAGAAGTTATGTAGGAGTGAGGTGTATAACGTATAGACAGAAAACAGACAAATTGGAGAATTTTCAATGTACAGCTCATTAACAGTTTACTATTTTTGAACTCTGTAAATATATTACCTATTAAATATTGTTCTTCATTTTTTGTATGCTGTTATACAAAAATTTCACTTTTCAAAGGCAAACTGTTTACCAAATAATGAAATTATAAAAAGATCATCCTTAAAGAAAATATGCGGTTATGTAGGGAAAATTTGTCTATTAAACCTTATATTTTGATATATTTTTGTCCTCCAAAATTTGCTACTAAGAAATTCATTTTATTCACTTCACAATTAATGAACATCATGTAACTTTATTATAAACTGGATTTTCCATGTCATATTAACTTGTAAACTTTTAGATTGTACAGAAGAAACAAAACACAGATCTAACTTACAAACTGCAGTTGCCTGCTAAGCAGGAAAGAGAAGGTCCACTAAGTTCTAAAAACAGAAAGGCAGAGTTTTTTATAAATAAAATGACTCACTGTTCACTGTTGTTTTTGTCCTTCTGAGTAATTTGGAAGACCCACAAAATGAGATCAAAGTTGGATTTTGGAAACTTGCCACACAGTATTGTCAATATATTATAGTAAAACTATGGAATGCAAAACATAAGTGGAGAAACTCCCTCCCTCCCTCCCCTTACCTCCCACACACATACATGCCATAAGCAATGACACTTGTTTATATACACTTACCTTAAATTGAAAGAGAAAATAATGTACTAGTATTCCTGGGACTAAATAAAATATACACAATTAATGCTAAAATGGAGTGCGAATATCTACATCAAGCTACTTTAATATGGAGATCCCACTAAAATAAATTTAGGTTACCTACTTGTGAATACATCAGATTGTAATTTAAAAACAAGCAAAAATTAAATAAAACAAAGAAAAATAAAAATGGAATTTAGACACATCTAGATGGTCAATCATAATATGGAAAATCCAATCAATGGTTTTTTATGTTGTTGTTTTTTTATTTTTTGAGATGAAGTTTTGCTGTTGTTGCCCAGGCTGCAGTGCAATGGCGTGATCTAGGCTCACTGCAACCTCCACCTCCCAGGTTCAAGCGATTCCTCCCCTGCCTCAGCCTCCAGAGTAGCTGGAGTTACAGGCACGTGCCACCACGCCCGGCTAATTTTTGTATTCTTAGTAGAGACAGGGTTTCACCATGTTGGCCAGGCTGGTCTGGAACTCCTGATTTCAGGTGATCCACCTGCCTTGGCCTCTCAAAGTACTGGGATTACAGGCGTGAGCCACCATGCAGGGCCTCAAAAGTTAGTATCTAAATTTAAATAACTCTAGATAGGATTATAAGCATGTTGAAAATTTGAAGATTGGCTTGATTACATATTCCAGTTATAAAATTTAAAACGTTATGTAACTTAAACAGTTCCTCAAATATTGAAGATTTATATGCATATTTCAAGTCTGAAAAACAGAGATCTCATCATTGTTTAGATATGAAACCTAACCCTAATTCTTCAAAGTTAAAAAGCATTCTACGGTAAAATCAGTATTTTATTTCTCAGACATCTACTAGTGACACCTTTTACATAATCTGAACATAAAACTAATTGCAATGGTGAAAATAAATAGGAAGTCCTCCACTCATTAACACTGATGTTGTGTTAACAGTTTATTTGTTTTAAGAGACATCAGCAGGAAGGAGAAATTATGAATGCTACGAAAACTAACATTTATTTCACCCCAAATCACACATTTGTGTAAAACGTTACACTAACTTGTCTAAAGAATATTCCAGCAGGGCACAATGGCTCATGCCTGTAATCCCAGCACTTTGGGAGGCCGAGGCAGGCGGATCACGAGGTCAGGAGATGGAGACCATCCTGGCTAACACGGTGAAACCCTGTCTCTACTAAAAATACAAAAAAATTAGCCGGCCGTGGTGGCCGGCGCCTGTAGTCCCAGCTATTCGGGAGGCTGAGGCAGGAGAACGGTGTGAACCTGGGAGGCGGAGCTTGCAGTGAACCAAGATGGCACCACTGCACTGTAGCCTGGGTGACAGAGCGAGACTCCATCTCAAAAAAAAAAAAAAAAAGAATATTCCATTTTTGCCTATGAGCAAGCATAGTTCAATCTTTGCCTTTATAATTAAAGAGTCAAAGTCTTGCAGCCCCAGCACCAGCCCACCACGTCCCGGCGCTCAGCCTCAGCTCCAGAGGCGAGCGCTGCGCTTCGGGCGCCGCAATCTCGAGGACACGGCCTCGCGGACACCTTACGCCCCAGGGAATTGGCAGCATAGGCGGCGCAAACAGCTGCCGTCGCATCGGCTTCTCTCTCGAGTCCTTCCCGTCACCTCGCTGAGAGCAAGTCCCAGTTGCGGGGACATCTCTCGTCCTTCCTCCGAGGCTCGTGGGACCAACAGACGGACGCAGCCAGTGAGGGCTGGACTGCGGGACGTGGCCAGCACAGGGTGAGTGGTGCTCTTGAGTCCCTTCAAGTGATTACGACTTAGATCTTCCCCTGGGACACCTTCTTGAAAGGACCACCGTGCATCCACTTTGCTTAGATATAATCCCAGATCAGTGAAGGTGTTGCAAAGCAGACTTCACTTGTCTCACTAACACTGGAAATTCTAAAAGGATCCTGAATAGCTGGCAGCCAAGATGGCCGAATAGGAACAGCTCCGGTCTACAGCTCCCAGCGTGAGTGACGCAGAAGACGGGTGATTTCTGCATTTCCATCTGAGGTTTGAAGAGAGCAGTGGTTCTCCGAGCACGCAGCTGGAGATCTGAGAATGGGCAGACTGCCTCCTCAAGTGGGTCCCTGACCCCTGACCCCCGAGCAGCCTAACTGGGAGGCACCCCCCAGTAGGGGCAGACTGACACCTCACACGGCCGGGTACTCCTCTGAGACAAAAATTCCAGAGGAACGATCAGACAGCAGCATTCACGGTCCATGAAATTCCGCTGTTCTGCAGCCACCGCTGCTGATAACCAGGCAAACAGGGTCTGGAGAGGACCTCTAGCAAACTCCAACAGACCTGCAGCTGAGGGTCCTGTCTGTTAGAAGGAAAACTAACAAACAGAAAGGACATCCACACCAAAAACCCATCTGTACATCACCATCATCAAAGACCAAAAGTAGATAAAACCACAAAGATGGGGAAAAAACAGAGCAGAAAAACTGGAAACTCTAAAAAGCAGAGCACCTCTCCTCCTCCAAAGGAACACAGTTCCTCACTAGCAATGGAACAAAGCTGGACAGAGAATGACTTTGACGAGTTGAGAGAAGAAGGCTTCAGATGACCAAACTACTCTGAGCTACGGGAGGAAATTCAAACCAAAGGCAAAGAAGTTAAAAACTTTGAAAAAATTTAGACAAATGTATAACTAGAATAACCAATACAGAGAAGTGCTTAAAGGAGCTGATGGAGCTGAAAGCCAAGGCTCAAGAACTACATGAAGAATGCAGAAGCCTCAGGAGCCGATGCGATCAACTGGAAGAAAGGGAATCAGTGATGGAAGATGAAATGAAATGAAGTGAGAAGGGAAGTTTAGAGAAAAAAGAATAAAAAGAAACGAACAAAGCCTCCAAGAAATATGGGACTATGGGAAAAGACCAAATCTACGTCTGATTGGTGTACCTGAAAGTGACGGGGAGAATGGAACCAAGTTGGAAAACACTCTGCAGGATATTATCTGGGAGAACTTCCCCAATCTAGCAAGGCAGGCCAACATTCAAATTCAGGAAATACAGAGAACGCCACAAAGAAACTCCTCAAGAAGAGCAACTCCAAGACACATAATTGTCAGATTCACCAAAGTTGAAATGAAGGAAAAAATGTTAAGGGCAGCCAGAGAGAAAGGTCGGGTTACCCACAAAGGGAAGCCCATCAGACTAACAGTGGATCTCTCGGCAGAAACTCTACAAGCCAGAAGAGAGTGGGGGGCAATATTCAACATTCTTAAAGAAAAGAATTTTCAACCCAGAATTTCATATCTAGCCAAACTAAGCTTCATAAGTGAAGGAGAAATAAAACACTTTACAGACAAGCAAATGCTGAGAGATTTTGTCACCACCAGGCCTGCCCTAAAAGAGCTCCTGAACGAAGCCCTAAACATGGAAAGGAACAACCAGTACCAGCCACTGCAAAATCATGCCAAATTGTAAAGACCATCGAGGCTAGGAAGAAACTCCATCAACTAACGAGCAAAATAACCAGCTAACATCATAATGACAGGATCAAATTCACACATAACAATATTAACTTTAAATGTAAATGGACTAAATGCTCCAATTAAAAGACACAGACTGGCAAATTGGATAAAGAGTCAAGACCCATCAGTGTGCTGTATTCAGGAAACCCATCTCACGTGCAGAGACACACATAGGCTCAAAATAAAAGGATGGAGGAAGATCTACCAAGCAAATGGAAAACAAAAAAAGGCAGGGGTTGCAATCCTAATCTCTGATAAAACAGACTTTAAACCAACAAAGATCAAAAGAGACAAAGAAGGCCATTACATAATGGTAAAGGGATCAATTCAACAAGAAGAGCTAACTATCCTAAATATATATGCACCCAATACAGGAGCACCCAGATTCATAAAGCAAGTCCTGAGTGACCTAAAAAGAGACTTAGACTCCCACACAATAATAATGGGAGACTTTAACACCCCACTGTTAACACTAGACCGATCAACAAGACAGAAAGTTAACAAGGATATCCAGGAATTGAAGTCAGCTCTGCACCAAGCAGACCTAATAGACATCTACAGAACTCTCCACCCCAAATCAACAGAATATACATTTTTTTCAGCACCACACCACACCTATTCCAAAATTGACCACATAGTTGGAAGTAAAGCGCTCCTCAGAAAATGTAAAAGAACAGAAATTATAACAAACTGTCTCTCAGAACACAGTGCAATCAAACTAGAACTCAGGATTAAGAAACTCACTCAAAATCGCTCAACTACATGGAAACTGAACAACCTGCTCCTGAATGACTACTGGGTACATAAGGAAATGAAGGCAGAAATAAAGATGTTCTTTGAAACCAACGAGGACAAAGACACAACATACCAGAATCTCTGGGACACATTCAAAGCAGTGTGTAGAGGGAAATTTATAGCACTAAATGCCCACAAGAGAAAGCAGGAAAGATCCAAAATTGACACCTAACATCACAATTAAAAGAACTAGAAAAGCAAGGGCAAACACATTCAAAAGCTAGCAGAAGGCAAGAAATAACTAAAACCAGAGCAGAACTGAAGGAAATAGAGACACAAAAAACCCTTCAAAAAATTAATGAATCCAGGAGCTGGTTTTTTGAAAAGATCAACAAAATTGATAGACCCCTAGCAAGACTAATAAAGAAGAAAAGAGAGAAGAATCAAATAGATGCAATAAAAAATCATAAAGGGGATATCACCACCAATCCCACAGAAATACAAACTACCATCAGAGAATACTATAAACACCTCTATGCAAATAAACTAGAAAATCTAGAAGAAATGGATAAATTCCTCGACACATACACCCTCCCAAGACTAAACCAGGAAGAAGTTGAATATCTGAATAGACCAATAACAGGCTCTGAAATTGTGGCAATAATCAATAGCTTACCAACCAAAAAGAGTCCAGGACCAGTTGGATTCACAGCCGAATTCTAACAGAGGTACAAGGAGGAACTGGTACCATTCCTTCTGAAACTATTCCAATCAATAGAAAAAGAGGGAATCCTCCCTAACTCATTTTATGAGGCCAGCATCATCCTGATACCAAAGCCAGGCAGAGACACAACCAAAAAAGAGAATTTTAGACCAATATCCCTGATGAACATTGATGCAAAAATCCTCAATAAAATACTGGCAAACCGAATCCAGCAGCACATCAAAAAGCTTATCCACCATGATCAAGTGGGCTTCATCCCTGGGATGCAAGGCTGGTTCAATACACGCAAATCAATAAATGTAATCCAGCATATAAACAGAACCAAAGACAAAAACCACATGATTATCTCAATAGATGCAGAAAAGGCCTTTGACAAAATTCAACAATGCTTCATGCTAAAAACTCTCAATAAATTAGGTATTGATGGGACGTATCTCAAAATAATACGAGCTATCTATGACAAACCCACAGCCAATATCATACTGAATGGGCAAAAACTGGAAGCATTCCCTTTGAAAACTGGCACAAGACAGGGATGCCCTCTCTCACCACCCTTATTCAACATAGTGTTGGAAGTTCTGGCCAGGGCAATTAGGCAGGAGAAGGAAATAAAGGGTATTCAATTAGGAAAAGAGGAAGTCAAATTGTCCCTGTTTGCAGAAGACATGATTGTATATCTAGAAAACCCCATTGTCTCAGCCCAAAATCTCCTTAAGCTGATAAGCAACTTCAGCAAAGTCTCAGGATACAAAATCAATGTACAAAAATCACAAGCATTCTTATACACCAACAACAGACAAACAGAGAGACAAATCATGAGTGAACTCCCATTCACAATTGCTTCAGAGAATAAAATACCTAGGAATCTAACTTACAAGGGACGTGAAGGACCTCTTCAAGGAGAACTACAAACCACTGCTCAATGAAATAAAAGAAGATACAAAGAAATGGAAGAACATTCCATGCTCATGGGTAGGAAGAATCAATATCATGAAAATGGCCATACTGCCCAAGGTAATTTATAGATTCAATGCCATCCCCATCAAGCTACCAATGACTTTCTTCACAGAATTGGAAAAAACTACTTTGAAGTACATATGGAACCAAAAAAAAGCCTGCATCGCCAAGTCAATCCTAAGCCAAAAGAACAAAGCTGGAGGCATCATGCTACCTGACTTCAAACTATACTACAAGGCTACAGTAACCAAAACAGCATGGTACTGGTACCAAAACAGAGATATAGACCAATGGAACAGAACAGAGCCCTCAGAAATAATGCCGCATACCTACAACTATGTGATCTTTGACAAACCTGACAAAAACAAGCAATGGGGAAAGGATTCCCTATTTAATACATGGTGCTGGGGAAACTGGCTAGCCATATGTAGAAAGCTGATACTGGATTCCTTCCTTACACCTTATACAAAAATTAATTCAAGATGGATTAAAGACTTAAACGTTAGACCTAAAACCATAAAAACCCTAGAAGAAAACCTAGGCATTACCATTCAGGACATAGGCATGGGCAAGGACTTCATGTCTAAAACACCAAAAGCAATGACAACAAAAGCCAAAATTGAAAAATGGGATCTAACTAAACTAAAGAGCTTCTGCACAGCAAAAGAAACTACCATCAGAATGAACAGGCAACCTACAAAATGGGAGAAAATTTTCACAACCTACTCATCTGACAAAGGGCTAATATCCAGAATCTACAATGAACTCAAACAAATTTACAAGAAAAAAACAAACAACCCCATCAAAAAGTGGGCCAAGGACATGAACAGACACTTCTTAAAAGAAGACATTTATGCAGCCAAAAAACACATGAAAAAATGCTCATCATCACTGGCCATCAGAGAAATGCAAATCAAAACCACAATGAGATACCATCTCACACCAGTTAGAATGGCAATCATTAAAAAGTCAGGAAACAACAGGTGCTGGAGAGGATGTGGAGAAATAGGAACACTTTTACTCTGTTGGTGGGACTGTAAACTAGTTCAACCACTGTGGAAGTCAGTGTGGCGATTCCTCAGGCATCTAGAACTAGAAATACCATTTGACCCAGCCATCCCATTACTGGGTATATACCCAAAGGACTATAAATCATGCTGCTATAAAGACACATGCACATGTATGTTTATTGCGGCACTATTCACAATAGCAAAGACTTGGAACCAACCCAAATGTCCAACAATGATAGACTGGATTAAGAAAATGTGGCACATATACACCATGGAATACTATGCAGCCATAAAAAATGATGAGTTCATGTCCTTTGTAGGGACATGGATGAAATTGGAAACCATCATTCTCAGTAAACTATCGCAAGGACTAAAAACAAAACACCGCATGTTCTCACTCATAGGTGGGAATTGAACAATGAGAACACATGGACACAGGAAGGGGAACATTACACTCTGGGGACTGTTGTGGGGTGGGGGGAGGGGGGAGGGATAGTATTAGGAGATATACCTAATGCTAAATGATGAACTCATCATTTAGCTGCTGGTGCAGCACACCAGCATGGCACATGTATACATATGAAACTAACCTGCACATTGTGCACATGTACCCTAAAACTTAAAGTATGATAATAATAAAATTAAAAAAAATAATACTGATTAAAGAGTAAAGTTTTAGAAAATATCTTTCCTGGTTTATTGTTTATAAGTAAATTGGGTATTTTAGCTTACAAAATAAACTTTACTTCTTTTGTTAATTTATGATTTATAGATATATGTCACACAGACTTATTTTTATTACATCAACCTATGTTCTATTGTTCGGAAGTAATGTTTTAAACTGAAATTCATTGATTTCTAAAATTGTCTACAGTTGTTTCAGTGCAGGCTAGAAGATAAATAGGAACTCCTCTACTCATTAACACTGACATTGTATTAACAGTTTATTTTAAGAGACATCAGCAGGAAGGAGAATTTATGAATTCTACCAGAACTAACATTTATTTCACCCCAAATCACACAGAACTGAATTTTCAAACTCTTTTATGCGTGGAATATGAAGCATTTGATAGTCTACCCTTACTTGGAAAAAATCATATTTCCTTTTTTTTTAGAAAAAAAAACACGAAAAGTAAAAAGTTACTTCCAATAAAATAATTTAATAGTGTCTGATAATAATAATATGTAAACTTTCTTTGCTAGCTCCTGCCATTCCCCATTCCTTTTATCTCATCCATGCTCAAACTATTGTACTTTAAAATTAAATAACTGACAAGACTGTCTTACTGCTTTTGCCACAATCTAACAGAAACCCAGTCTTATTTGTAGCAGAAGTAAGCACGGCTAAAAATGATAGATTCCAGGCCAGGTGCTGTGGCTCACGCCTGTAATCCCAGCACTTTGGGAGGCCGAGGTGGGTGGATCACCTGAGGTCAGGACTTTGAGACAAGCCTGGCCAACCTGGTGAAACCCCGTTTCTACTAAAAATACAAAAATTAGCTGGGCATGATGGTGCATGCCTGAAGTCCCAGCTGCTCAGGAGGGTGAGGTGGGAAAATCACTTGAACCCGGGAGGAGGTTGCAGTGAGCCAAGATCACACCATTGCACTCCAGCCTGGGTGACACAGGAAGACTCCATCCGAAAAAAAAAAAAAAAAAGATAGATTTCCCTAAATCTCTTTTCCCTTTTTTTCTTTTTCTTTTTCTTTCTTTTTTTTTTTTTTTTTTTTTTTTTTTTTTTGGCCTATAACCTCTGATGCTAGATAGCTATCTTGGACCAGAAAGAGGAAAAATCACCTGCAAAGGATGGTGGAGAAGGACTTGATGACTTCCAAGAGCAGCAATACCAGTACTGGAAGTTCTACCCTTGTTACTCTTCTCACATGAAAAAAACAAATCTCTATTTCATTAATCCAACCAGGTATCTGTAACTTTCAAGTGAATGTAATCTCAACTGATAGCATGATAAAAAGTGTGAGAAAAAATGAGAAAAAATGTACCTGAAATACTTTTTCTGTTATAAGCCTTTTATCTCACAAATTTACCCTCTTCTTTGAGAAGAATGTGGGAGCATGATAGGAGAAATTTCTCAATACTCTTCCCCAAATGACAAGTTTATCTGTATTTAATCCAATGGTTTTTCTCTTTCTTCTTATTAAACTAGAAAAGATATCCCTTTTTCTCACTAAGAAGCAGACTTCTACCTTTACTTTGGATTTTATCTCCTCTCACTTCTCTAGAAATGTTGCTTTGTTTACTATTCTTCTCCTGTAATTTCAATCTCTCTTTTTCTAGTAGTTCTTCCAAATCCCTCTCTCAACTCCATGCCTCTGGCATTGTCATTATACATTATGTTTCTGCTTTTCTTTTCACAACACTTTTTGAAAGACCTGTCTCCACACTCCCCACACTTCCATACCCATTACCATTGTAGTCAGAATTCCACCACAACGCTCTACGAGAACTACGCTTGCCAAATCACCAAAAGTTGCTTGGTGAAGTCGATAGTTTGAATTTTGTATCTTATTTCCACAGCATAGCAGTAAAAGCAATGAACCAACTTGGTTCTTAAAATGCTAATTTTCTTCTTGTTTCTGTCATATTTTAGTCTGCTAGTTTTCTTTGTAAACTCAAGGTAATTCTTATTTATTATCATTTTAGACATCTTTTTTATTGGTTGTTTCTCAGGATTCTGTTCTAGTCTCCATTCAATTTCTACTTTGCACACACTATCATCTACTCCAAGGTATCAACTAGCACCTACATGTGATAAGAGACAAACTACAATCCCAACACAAATACTTATTCTGGGCCCCAGATGCACACATACAGTAGTCCCCAGAGATACTCACTTGTCTATCTAGCAGGTGTCTAAAATTTAGTAGGTCTAAAATGAAGTGAATTTTCCCTACAAATCTGTTTATATTCTTTCACGGAGTTATTCTACTATGCACCTAGTTATCTAACACAGAAACTAGGGTGTGACCTTTCAATCCTCTCTCCTTTTTTCCATTATACCTAATCATTCATTCTGACATACTAAATCAATTGTCTAAATATCTTGGCTCCACTCACATCAGTCTAGCTCCATTACCACTATTCTCTTAGAAGACAAATCTCATTTGAATTATTGCAAAAGTCTAATACATGTTGCTCTGAGTCCAGTCTTAAACTCCTTTCAATTCATTTTCTATAAAGCTGCTGAAATTATCTCTAAATCATAAACAGATCACAGCACACACTTGGCTAAAACCTTTAATGAATACCCAAAGCCATTAAAAAAAAGTTCTAAAACCCTTGATATAATTTACAAAGCCATCTGTAATCCAAACTCTATTTATCTCTTACCTTTTTTCATCTTATTTTCTTACAACTAGATTTAATTACTATTTCAAAAGAGGGTATCAGGTCCTAGCTAAATACTTCCTGGAACACATTTTTTCACCCGTTTCTCATCTTCATTTTAGATAATATTTTCAGCCTACACATGCAGCAGCCTAATAGGCATTTTCTCTCATTCCCACAATTGGTTCAGTGCTTAATTTTAAAGTAAAGACTAAGATTGCCTCATATTATGTATTTTGTCCTGATTCTTAAGAACTAATCCTAATGTTTAGATACCTAGCTCAAAGAGTACATTTTTCAGCCTGTCTTGTCGCTAATACAATCATGGACTTACTGTGCAATTATTCCGCAAAAATCTCTTTATTAAAAGGGTCATATGCTGCTTCTCTTCATACATCCTCTTGCCTAGAACTTAAATAAGATAGAGTCCAACTGCCCTTTTATATAATATCGTTTTGTTTTCTGTCAAAAGTGGATGAATCTGATACTGTGTTCCAGTGTTCTTCCACAATGCGTGAACCTCTATCACTGCTTATTTTTCAGTATTATAATTGTCTTTTCACACTAGACCAGATTTAAAAATTTCATGGATTCAGTATTTTTTCTTTAATAAGTAGGGGTAATTTTTTTTTTAAATCCTAACATCAGATTTACTCTTAACATCATTTCATAAATGAAATGAATGATATTTTAATTCTTAAAAGGTAAGAATGACATATTTTTTAAAAGACAAAAATTTAGTTTTATGAAACACATTATCTTTCTAGGCTTTTAAAATGTTTTCACAAGTAAGCATGCACCTATCCATGTATCATTATTTGGGAGTCATTGCACTAAGCTACATGTTTCTTAGGGCAGATTCACTATATTGTTCTCCTTAGCACAGTATATGACACTGTGATCAAGCTATTTCCTAAATGATTAAATAATCCAAACAAATTTTTATACCCATGGAGAAATGTGACCTTTAATGTGACCATGTAAAAATATTTAAAATGTTCTTTGCTGATTTGTGGAAAAATTAAGGTGATAACTTGTTCCTTGGATTGTTTGTAACATCTTGTCACTCTCAAAAGGAAAACTCATCATCTCTCAGTAATCCATCCACAGATCAAACTACTTTCTCTGACAGGAGACAGAGACTTTAAGCAAAGTCCATCTACAGATTCTAGTTCCAACATCTACAATGTAACCTTACACACTGATCCTCCCTCTGTGGGTTTCAGTTTTCTCCTCTCTGAAAAGAGAAGGGTTTACACTAGATGATTTTATAGACTTTTTCGCTTCTGATCTGCTGTGATTATATATCCAACATAATCCTCTTAGGCTGTGGTTTAAGGCTTCTCTTTCCTTTTCTAACCTCAGGGGAGATAGAGATCACAGTCTCTGTGTGCTTGAAAATCATTTCCAAATTTACCCTTAGATGTTCTCAGGCAACCTGAATAACCTCATTTCCTCTATTTTATCTCACACTCCCTTAACTGTAGAGGCTACGATGAATAGAATAGAGTGATTTAAGAAGTTATAATACAAAGTGGACAGTCAAGGGTGGTAAATCTTGTTTCTTTTTTTTTTTTTTTTTTTGAGACGGAGTCTCGCTCTGTCGCCCAGGCTGGAGTGCAGTGGCGCGATCTCGGCTCACTGCAAGCTCTGCCTCCCAGGTTCACTCCGTTCTCCTGCCTCAGCCTCCCGAGTAGCTGGGACTACAGGCGCCCGCCACCACGCCCGGCTAATATTTTCTGGTTTTTGTTGTTGTTGCTGTTGTTTTAGTAGAGACGGGTTTCACCGTGTTAGCTAGGATGGTCTCGATTTCCTGACCTCGTGATCCACCCGCCTCGGCCTCCCAAAGTGCTGGGATTACCGGCATAAGCCACCGCGCCTGGCCAATCTTGTTTCTTATATGTTCTAATGCTCTGCTAGTTGGGGATATGGATACTAGAGAGAATTAGTAATCACCATGAAAGCTGGTCTTACACATAGAAAACAAATCTCAAAATATGGCTATTAAAAGGAATTTTACCTAATAATCTTTATGCTCTTTACTAAACTTTAAAATACTGCAATAAAGTACAGGCATTATTTATTTTGAAAAGAGAGTGAAAATGCCACATGAGGATGACTGCAATGTTGGTTCTCAAATTTTGCTTTAGAAAAATAATTTATTCCAAAATAGGAAATAATATTCATGGCAGTTTTGATTAACTTAAAAAGAGGGGGTGGGGGTAGAGAGGGAGAGCAATCAGGAATAAATTTACTTTACTATTCCCTCAGGATATTTCTTCAATTCTAGTGCAGTAATTGGAGACACATTATTTATTTACGTTTAAGCTTTTGAACAAAAGCCCTCAGAACTGAACAATAAGGTCTCAATGTATGAAGATAATTAATCCAACAAAAACTCTTTTAGAAATGTCAGCTGCTTCAGAGAACAATAGCAACCTAATCGGGGTGAGGAGATGCCCTCCAGTTAGTTGAATGCTCTGGGCTTTGTCATATCACAAACCTGCGGAGGCAGCACAAACATACAAATATTCATGTTAATAAATTTAAAAGAGATAAAATATTCCTCAGGTTACATGTTTATCTGGGGCTGTTTTCCTTGATTGATGGTGTGTTTTTCTCCTGTGTGTTTACACAAACACAGCCAGTGAAGGTGCTGAATTCCTCCCTGGTGTTTTTTTTTTTTTTTCCCCAGGCTCCCTAGCTAGATCAAAGGACAATGCCATGGTTAAAAAGGAAACCACATTATTTCCAAGGCAGAGAAAAGGGCAGTGCTGGCATACATCTGTAAAATTTTTGCTTAATAGTACAAGTCATTCTTCTTCTGATAGATTAAGCTTTCTCTCAACAAATATCCTAACTTTGTATGCCTAGCTCATTGCTCAGGGCCAATATGGTTCTAGTATCCCTTTGCATTGTAATTTCCAGCATTTATATAGACCACATATATAAATAAATAATCGGAGCAGGTCAGAAGCGGAATGGATTCTAATACCATTAATATAAACTTCCCTCTCTATGTTTATAAAATAGGAACAATATTAATCTACATCTTAGGTAACTGCTGAGAGAAATAACTGAACTCACATAAAGCAGCATAGTACCTGCCTCATTGGACTGTTTTGAAGGTTTAGGTGAGATTCCATTTATAAAGTGCCCACAGTATGTGCTATATGATTGTTTGCTAAGTAAAATATTAGCAAGCATTCAATAAATATTATATAATAATCTTATGATGAATCTGCCTTTGGTCTTTCTAATGTTGAAGATATCCTGTAATTTTAAGGAGTCTTTGACTAGCACAGAATACAAACACATACCCAGATTATTTTAAAACAATGATACAATAAGAAGAATTGTGATGTGCATAGAGTGAAAGTCCCACACAGGTGCACTCATACTTTTGGCTTACTCCAGGCTTATGTTTAAAATAAGAAGTCAGTGAAAATTCCATTTTGGAACCATGTAATCATTTTCTTCTTGCATCCTTTTGTCCTGAAAAGCCCAAACTGGTAAAGCTGGTAGAGTTTACAAGGAGAGCCGAATATCAGCCGTGTCCTAACTAAAACTGAAGGGGCATAGTAGTGAAACTGTCAAGAGATTAGAAGCATGAGAGATACAACACTTTGGTAACAAAAGTTCATGCAGGTGTATTGCCTTAGGCAAAGAAAGAAGGCGTATTTAACTCTTTTCTCAAAGAAAGATACAGCTGGAACATACAGGCAAAACTATTTTTCATGAGGGAAGGTGTTGTCATGCTTGATGTTAAATATTTTCAAGTCACACTTACTTCTCAGGTATTTTTCTTTTTCCACGGCCGGAAAGATGTTAGGTTCCAGAATCAGCAAAAGTGAGTATTTCTCGTGACCTCAGCAATTAGAAAAAAATAGAAAAATAGTGTGAGCCCTTGGTGCAGGTTAGGGACTCCTTGAAACATCTGCCATTTTCCCTAAGGTGCCTTGGTGCCCTGAGCTTCCACTGTAGGCAGATCATGGGAGTGAAAATCATACTTCTGGATCCTTCCCAACATACAGTGAATTATAACTGATAAGAAAAAGAGATATGACCTAAAAATCTGTATTTTTAACAAGTTCTCCAAGATAATTTTGACACTTTGCCAATTATAGCTATGGCACCAGATTCATGCTGTGTAGTTACTGCCTCTTTGATAATGTAAGAAGACTTAACATGTGAAGGATAAAGAGAAGTAACTGTAACTTCTTAGCCTAAATTTTTAGAGATAAAAAATGTTCATTAACAAAAAGTCGCTTTAAAGAATTACCTTGTAATTCCAATTAAAAAAGAATCAACAGGTATATAGATTCTATTTAATTTTATTATGACAGATTTTAAGCATGAAAATAATATTAAAAAGAGACAGATTCACATATGTGACTTCTATATAATGAATTAATCCTTAGTTGTAGAGTATCCATTTAATACTGTGAGCACATTAAGCAATGTCAGATGTAAGAGAATCTCTCTGGGCTATATTTCCCTTAATGGATTTTGATGGAAATCCATGAGTAATTCTAATTCATGTTTAATCCCCAAAGGATACAGATAATACAGAGAGTTATTTAGCTAAATGCAAGTAAGTCTTAAATTCTTTTAGCATTTGAAACCAATATGATATTGAAATTTGAGTCTCATTTTAAAAGACTGTTTTAATTGCTTATCAAATATCAATTTAGTATTAGTTTCCAAAATAGCAAATACCAGTTTAATTTTGAAAACCAATATAAATTTCTAAATATATGCATATATACATTTATGCATATATATGTATATACACACATATATACGCTATGCTGTATTTCAAAAGACGTTTTGGACAAATTATGATCCAATAAAATTCATCCAATTCAGTTTGGTAATATTTCATATCAAACATTAAGCAATTGGGATAATTTCTAAGTATCTGTACTTCTTAATATCTTAAGTGAATTCTGATTCTAACATTCCAAATATATTCTATTTAAGGAAGTGAGCACATGGTTTTCTATCTTCATTACCTCCTACCTTCATTACATTATTTTTTGATAGTTTTACCATAAAAATGTGTTCATTATTACCCATATATTTTCTCTTCAACTAACTCATCTGAAAAGGCTCTAATCAATGTTCACCTGTAACCTATACCCGTAGTTCTCTTAGTGTGGTTCACAGATCAGCAGCAATATCATCGAGGACCTTGTTCAACTGCACATTCTAGAGCTCTTTTTAGGCTTATTTAATAAAAATTCCAGGTCCCAGCAATCTGTGTTCTAGCATGTCCTACAGGTGTTTTTGATGGACACTAAAGTTTGAAAATCAAGCTCTTGTCCAAAGCTACTGGTCAATGTCACATCTTCATCTTGCTTGGCCTTCCATAAAAAACATTATAATTGAGCACTTCCAACTTTATACATTTGTAATTTGATTATAAAATACTCCAAAGTAAAAAAGTACAAAGAACAATATGAAATACCCATGTCCTCCCCCCTCCAATGTTAACACATGCTAAGTATTGCCATGTTTGATTCAAATATTTGTTCAATAACAAATGCTTTACATTCAGTTGAAGCCTTCTTCTCACTCAATGTCTTTCCTTCCTTTTTAAAAGAGAAATCACTGTCTTAAATGTATCTTTATCTTTCTATTATGTTTATATAGTCTATGCAAATATATATTTTCATAAATATATATTATATTGTATTTTACACTTTGTAGAAATTTTACAATTTGCTTTTTCACTCAAAATTATTTTTGAGATCTCCCTATGGATATATGCTGAGATTCTTCTGTTCATTCTTTTTCATTGTTATATACTAGCTCACATTGTGAACAAGTATTAGTCAATTTTTTATCAGTTCTCTAATGATATACATTAAATTTTTCTAATAAAATGCTCTATTAACTTTTTTGAAATTTGTCTGTGCTCATGTGATTTTTTTAAATGATTATATAGAGTATAACTGTGATATCTTTTGATTTGAGGTATATATGCAGGACTGCCACAAACACAACTCCAGGGGGCACAACTTACGTTTTAATCTATGTGAACACTGCCCCGACAGCTGGATCTCACACCTATGCAGCTGTAGCGACTTCACTCTACATTGTTAAATGTTCACAACAATGGTTGTTGACTAGAAATAGCAGTTTTCTGTCTATTTTTCCTTATGCTCACTAACAATTGGTGGTAAACAATTGTAATTTTTACCCAAATGTTTTAAATGTGAAGTGAAACTGCTTTATATTTTGTATTAACCTAGTTGTTATTGAAAATAAATATCATTTTATAGGCTTATTGGCCATTCGATAATTTCCAGGAGCAACTTTTATATACATTTTTTATTTTTTGCAGTTCTTTGATGTCATTTTGAAGCTTTTATTAATTGAATATGTCGAATATAGCTTCTTGAGGAATGTGACTTTGCTTTGAATTTTTTAATTAATTTTTTTGTCAACAAGGATTTTTAAATGTAACTTTCAACTAAAGTATATATTTTAAAAATGAACAAATCTTAAGTGCAAATAAATTATATCAAGGTGAACGTACCCATGTAATGACCATCAGTTCAAGAAGTCAAAAATTAGGTTTACTAGTAGAACTGAAGGGTCTTTTTAAAATATATTTTTTAATGTTTTGTGTTTTGGAATGTTAAGAAATTCTTCCCTATATTGAGAGCATTAGGAAAAATACTTAATGCAAACGGGGGATTACAACCTAGATGACGGGTTGATAGGTGCAGCAAACCACCGTGGCACATGTATACCTATGTATAAAACCCTCACATTCTGCACATGTATTCCAGAACTTAAAGTAAAATTTAAAAAAGTAAAATTAAATAAATAAAATAATAATTTTTTAAAAAAGAAATTCTTCCCTATCTTACAGTAAGAATGTTTCTATACTTTTTCTGGAAGTTCTAAAGTTTTGCTTTTAATATATAATTTTACCTTTCACATTTTTCAATCTATCTGAAATTTATGTATGTGATAATTATCTAATTTTTTCCATGTGAATAGCCAATTCTTTTAACACCAATCTATGCTTTTCTTCTAATTTGGAACGCCACCTTTGCCATATTCAATTTCCTCATGTTCATGTTTGTATTTCTGAGTTCTGTATTGTCTTTTATTTATCTGTAGTGTTTTAATTATTATAACACTATATTAAACCTTGTTATCTGGAATGGTATTCTCCCACCATTGTTCCTTTTGCTAATGCATTAGCTAATTTTGGACTTTTAATACTGCATATGGAGTTAAGAACGACCTGTCAATTTCTGTGAAAAATACCATTAGGATTTTGATTAGAATTCCATCACATATTTATAGATCAGTATGGGGAGAATTAATATTAACTACACTAATTATCCCTTCAAGAGTATGGCCTATGTTTCTTCATATAGTTGGGTTTTTGTTAGTGCTTTGCCTTTCTCTCTCTCTTTCTTTCTTTCTTTCTTTCTTTCTCTCTTTCTTTCTCTCATTCTCTCTTTCTCTCTTTCTCTCTTTCTTTCTTTCTTTCTTCATGCACCAAAAGGCCCAGCTAATTTTTTTTATATTTTTTAGAAACAGGGATCTTGCTATGTTGCCCAGACTGGTCTCAAACTCCTAGTATCAAGCAATCCTTCCTCCTCAATCTCCCAGACTGCTAGGATTACAGGTGTGAGTCACCACATGCAGCTTGTTAGTGCTTTTCCTTAAAGGTCCCCACCTCTTGTCTTTGCCCGCCTGCATTTTATTAATTGAATGTTGTAGTCCTTTTACCTTTTTTGATACTGGATCTCTTTGACATGAGCAGGAATATTATAAAGAAATTTTATCAGGCCATATCTGTGCATGAATAAACATTCTTTGCTTCACCCATTTCTATTAAAAACATTATCTTTTTGCTTTACCAACAAGGATGACTTTCTCCAGAATTTCCCCTTGTTTAAAAAAAGAAAAAAAAAAAAAGCTGACTAACCTGGATGGAGTTTGGAGGAAGGTTAGGTAAGGGGTAGTACTGGCATGTAGATTACTACTTTGCATTACCCGTAGAGTAAGAAATACTGAATTTAGCTCAAAATTGAAAGAAGTAATGTACTGCAAACCTACCTCCTTCTGTAGATTATGAGCAAGATAAAGAAACAAATGAAACTCTCTTGACACCTAGCCATATATGCTATTTACAAGAATCAGGGTGTAACAAAAGGGAAGCCCTCTGCAAAGACACAGTAAGGGCAAGATATTGCTGGACACAGAATGGTTGAGTTTTAGTTTTCTATTTCCACCAGCAGCGCCTGGCAAGGAGGCTGGAGCAGTAATATTCTCTTGGGAGGTTCAAGGCAGAGTAGAGACAAGTTATGAGAGCAGACTCTTTGTAGGGCTTCACTTTCAAGTATGGCCTAATTGCTTCTCTTGGGTTCTTCAGAAAAGGTAGAGCTGAGAGAAACAAACAGGCCCTCTGACTGCTGCCAGCTGCTGTTTGCACACTGAGTTTTGAGCCCTAGGCTGCCAAAACCACACAAATACCACAAAACAGTGGTTACTCAAACAGTAGGAAGATCAGTTCTCTGCAGGGTTCAGGAATAAAGGAGGCCCTAACAATGCTGCAAAGGCAAGAGGTCTTCCCCTAGCCTAAGGACGCTGACGTCCAGCCACATCTTGCAGAGGCTGATGGCAGAAAACGGTTGGCTGAAACCATGCTCAGAGAAACCTGGCTTGGGAACTTCCAGATATGAGGGAGGCAGTTGAAGGGCTCATAGGTCAGGTCTAGGGTCTCTGGTTCAATGAGATAGCTAGATGAGCAATAGAAAGGAACACTTTTCAGCAGGATGGTTCTGAGATCCAGCAGCTCCAGAGAATGTGCAGGAATCTAATGGAGTCCTGAGGACTTTTCTACCAGAAAAAAAATAACCCTAGGGTATAAGTGTCCAGGGGTTCAGGGGCAAGTTAGGAAAATTGATTTAATTAGGGTTGAATATATCACTGGGAGAAAATGAAACTCTTACCCCTGAGAAGAGCACCCCTGGTTGATGCAGGAAGGATGGCGGCAGACTCTATTCCCAGAGATCAGTTCATCTCCTTCAACTTCTTTTCTTTTTTTCTTTTCTTTTTTTTTTTTTTTTTTTTTGAGACGGAGTCTCGCTCTGTCGCCCAGGCTGGAGTGCAGTGGCGCAATCTCGGCTCACTGCAAGCTCCGCCTCCTGGGTTCACGCCATTCTTCTGCCTCAGCCTCCTGAGTGGCTGGGACTACAGGCGCCCGCCACCACGGCCGGCTCATTTTTTTGTATTTTTAGTAGAGACAGGGTTTCACCGTGTTAGCCAGGATGATCTCGATCTCCTGACCTCGTGATCCGCCCACCTCAGCCTCCCAAATTGCTGGGATTACAGGCGTGAGCCACTGCACCCGGCCCCAACTTCTTTTCTTTAACCATGAGCAGAGATCCTGTGGGGTAGGGACTTAAAGCAGGGAAATACTTTTTAGGCCTAGAATAGCTCATCCAGTGTGAAGAGATTGCTCTTTTGCAGGTGACCAGGACAGACTTAATATTCCTCTCCCCTTAACTAAGTTTTAGGCAGGATTCTTTGTGGCACTAGGCCCCAACCTCCTTTTTTTAGAGCCTTTACTTTAGAAAACCTGTCATTGTAAATGCTTTCCCTTTCACTTTGACATGTAAATCTTTTTAAAGCCTCTTCCCAGTTTTACAACACAGGATAGTCTTTCTCCAGGAGCTATAAGCCATGTCTTTGAAATGTAGTCCTAGGAAGAGAGGGCCCCTATCTCCCAGTCTCTATGGGAAGGTGGCAGCCTAACAGATGCCTTGCTCCAAGTTGCAAAACTACCTCCAGTTATGAAGATAAAAAAAGCATTTTTGGACTGGGAGAGGAAGAGGAAAAGAGAGGACTTGCTTAGTCTCCCCTCTTCCTCTCTCCTTCCCTCCCTTTCTCCCTTTCTTATCTCCCTTTCTTTCTTCCTTCTTTCCTTCCTTCCTTCTTTCCTTCCTCCCTTTTCTTCTTTTCTCCCTCTTTCCCTTTTACTTATGCGATTTTTGCATTCTACTAATGATATAACCGTGTTTATTTACGGCATCATGAAGACACTCCCTGCCTTTGCTCTAAGATTAAGACTGTCTGAGAAATGGCCATCCTTTAATTCAAACAATATTTATTGACTTACTACTGTATTCTAGACACAGTGCTAGGAAATAAGCTTATAGAAAATAAGCAAAACAAACTTTTTTTTTTCACTGCTGAAGTTTATAATCTTACATTAATCAACCAATCAAACAAACGAACAAGTACAAAATACAATAAGTGCCAGGTGGGAAATATAGGGTGCTACTTGTGGGACTGACCTGTCTTAGGATTCAGAGGCATGTTCCAGACAGATCTAGAACACAGAATGAAGGTTCTAATGCAGAAAAAAGAAGAAAGCATTGGTGAGTGAATATAGGCCTAGACTGGGGGAGCCTAAATACCTAAGGCTGAGATCACTGTATGAGGGTCCCTGCTTCCCTCATGTGTGGTGCTACACATATATCAGACCTTTGGTTAAGGATTTAGAAAATCAAAACTCTCTTTTTGTTTTTGTTCACAAAACAATATTGGCTTCTATCTACTATTTATATCTATCTATCCATCTATTCCTAAGAGCCCTAAAATACTTCATTTATACGAAGTTATTTTCTCAGCTAAATTATTTAGATTTGCAGTGTTTTTTCTTCTCATTAAACATTTATTACTCACATATTGATAATTAACTGCTTATATAGTTATAGGCTGGATGGGGAAAGTGTAAAATTTCCCCCACTCCTTTCTCTTTTTTTCCCGCTGCCTCTAGCTATTTAATACAAAGGCAGTTCTTGTATTAAGGAAGGCTGGGAGAATTATTTTTTGTCAGTTAACTAAAAACAGTGCTGACTTTATAAAAAATTTGCTTAGAGTTTTCAAAATTTTGATTTTGTTAACAACTACATGAGTGCAACAAAACAGAAGAAAAATTCATTATTTCTCCAAAATAGTCTCCTAGAGTCTGACCCAAATATAAGCTTACAATGAAATTGAAAGGAACTTCATATTCAGATAAACTTTTATTCTATTTATCAATTCATTATTAGTTGAATCACAAATTGTTTATTTAATTTTATGTAAAGCGAGAAAAACCATTAAAAGATGTTAGAAATGCAATACATCAAAGCAATACTTCAAAAAACCTTTGAAATCACTGATTTAATTAATCATTATAATCATTTACCTAAGGAAGTAGCTGCATTTTCATTTTCACACGACAAGGTTTTTATTCACTTTATTCAACATAAAGGTAAAAATTTTGCTCTGTGAATGAAACATATTATATCCCTATAGAGATATAGGAAAATAATAGGACAGAGTATGTTAATTTTTCTCTTACCTCTTTTAGTCCTTACCTCATTTATAAGGGAGAATAACCAAATTTAATATTTTTCAAAGTACTCTTCCTCAGATTTCACATAACATCTGGAAAGTAAAACAAATTATTTTTACAAATTTTACTGAAAAGTTAGACATGCATAACCAAGAAGAAATTCTATGAAGATATGCTAATTCTTTTAAATAGTCCCAGAAGAAAAATATGAAAATATATTGTCCACAATTAAAGCAGTAAGTTTAAATGAACCCATTGGCCCTTGATCTGTAAAGATAGGTGGACTGTTCCTAGAATATGTCTGTGATGTGTTCATTGGAGCTAGGTGTAGGCCAAAAGAAAAGGTATGTAAATACAATACATAAACACAAATATATATATGTGTGTGTGTATACATAGCACTATATATGTGTATATATATCACTACTTATATGTATATATATCTCACTATATATACATGTATGGTATAGTATAACACACATATATATATGCCACTATATATACATATACCACTATATTTTTTATATATATATAGAATACCACTATATGTACATACAGTATATATATGTATATATAGTGGTATTAAAACATGTCCTCAAATTCTTTGATAGCTGTCCCATCAAGGAGTGGAGCTTATGTTTCTTCCCATTGAAACCGCATGGGGCTTTGTAATTGCCTTGACAAGCAGAATGCAACATAAGTCACATGTTGCATAGGCTAGAAAAGGTCACATAATCTCTGCTGCCTCTTTTGGAACACTTGCTTTGGGAGTCTTAAGCAGCTGTGTAGAGATACCATGCAGACCAAATCAAGGCAGAGAGAGATATGCCCACAGAGCTCCAGCTCTTTCAGTCTTCCCAGCTCAGGCACCAGATATTGAATGAAGAATCACAATGGAATAATATTCAGCCATAAACAAGAATACGATCTTGCCATTTGTGACAACATGGATGGACCTGGAGGACATCATGGTAAGTGAAACAAGCCAGACTTAGAAAGACAAATACCTTGTAATCTTACTCATATGTGAAGTTTAAAAGAGACAGAGAGAGAGAGATATGATATCACAGAAGCAGAAAACAGAGCACTGGATACCAGAGACTGGGGAGAAAAGAAGGGAGGAGAGGATGTTCTGGTATGTTATTGCACAGTTACAGTGATGATGGTTAAGGGTAAGTTCTTGTATATTACAAAGTAGCTAGAAGAGAGTCTTTTGAATGTTCTCACCACAAAGAAGTGATAAATGCATGAGGTGATGCATAAGCTAAATACACTAATTGGATCATTATATGACATATATATGCATCAAAACATTGACTTACACACAAAAAATATGAACACTTACAATGTATCCATAAAAATAACTTTAGAGATGACCCCAGCCACTGTTTGACTGCAATCTAATGAGAGATGCTGAACAAGAATTGCCTACTTGAGTCCAGCCAAAACCCAAATTTACAAGCAAAATAAGTGGTTATTTTTTAAGCCAATGTTCGAGGTAGTTTGTTACACAGCAATAGAAAGAATAGTATATAATAAAATTAGCTTGCACATTGCAAATGAACATAAAATAATAAGACTGGTTTTTTTTTGACCACTTAGTAGAATTGACATACAACCTCATATAAATTAGATGCCACCCTAATCATAAAACTATATTGGAGGTAGATGTTGACATAACTTATTTTCTAACAGTGTAAAAGTTACTGTTTGTTTTCCTAATTTTATGACCATCAATCACTGCTATGGTTTAAGGGTTACTATATCTCTATTTTTTGTGACATGTTATTAGAATAACAATACTACTTAAGATCAGAAAGCAATAATATGGTTTAATTTTTTCTTTCTAAAACAAGTTATTCATTAATCTGTCAAAATTTTTCCCTGAGAAAATTGCGTCTGTGCCCTCATTATAATTTCCATTAACTTACTCTGCAATGTTATTTCTCCATTAGATTATTGCTTTAAGATGTTTCAATCTTCCTAAAATGACCTCTGTTTTTTTTTTTTAATTCAGAGTTCTGTTTTCCTACATTAGGTGCAATGTAAAAAGAAGACTTTGTTGTATTTCTATACAGCTTTACTGTCAACTTTCTTTAGTTTCATACATAGTAAATCTATTTCTAACTCCAGTAAAATGCAGACTAAAAATCCAGTTGCTGTGTCACACATTTTTTTGTTCTAATGCTTTTCCTCTCATTTTCTTGTTATTTATACAACTTAGGATATTGTAAGGATTTTACTTGCTTCATTGACCCACTATCATGTTCATTTTACTTTCAGGGTCTGAAATCAACCAGGTTAGTTTAAGTCTTGTAACAGTTAGCTTTTACTGTGTAACAAATGCCACAAATTAGTGACTTCACCATTTATTTGGATCATGATTGTGCAACTTGGCAATTTGTATTGTCTGAGCTAGACAGCTTTTTTGGTTTGGTCTTGTTTCTCAGACATGTATGCCAGTAGAATTGCATGTTTTATATAAAACCTGTATTTTACCAAATACCTAATTCCTAGTTTGACAGCTTTTAATTTCAACTTACTTGCAAGGAGAAGGCAAGGAAGTCCTGACAGTTAATATGAGTTGATGACTTGAGACAATTTTCTGGAGAAACAGAATAATTCATTCAGACACCATGGTTGCAAATGAAGGAGAAATACTCATTGAAGAATCATCCCTAGGTTGAAAGCCCTCTTTTTGCTGCCAGTAAAAAGCAATATAATACAAAAGCAAGAAAAATACATTATTTTCTCAAGAATCATTAAATTAACAAATTTTGAAGAGTGTGTTGCTTTTCTTCAATGCTTTCCACCATCGTCTAAAAGTTTTCCACTAAATGCCTTGTGCTGTCAGACTTACTGCTATATTGTGTTTTACGGAGATTCTACTGTGGTTTGGCTATGAGGAGAGAGTTCCTTATTAGTCCGGATTTATTCTGCACTAAAGCATTTGCTTTCATTCCATGTCCTGAGTTTCTGAGGCAAGAAAACTCATTGGAAAGGGATCTGTGTACAAAGTTCAATAAACCTAAAACAATATACTTCTTTAGAAAATTAACATTCTTCTATTCCAATCTTTCACTGCTTTGAAGTGAAAGATAACATGCAAACATAGTCATTTCTTTCTCACAAGTGGACTACAATTAGAAGCAAAGACCCATTATGCCAAATTTCTCTTATTCATGTCATCATACATGAGAATCAACTGCACTAATTTATTAAAATTAAATCTAACTTGAATATTGTTCTAAATGATAATATTTATTAAATCATAAATAGAATGTGCTGTTGCTTTCTAATATACATGACCACTAAAACATAATTATTAACAGAAAATAGTTATTCTATATATCATCTAAAATCACGTTTATAATGCCATTGGTAGGCATATTGCATCTTGGAAAACACAAATTGAAACATTCACAACTGTTTCAGAATTAAGAGTAAAAGAAGATGTTTTTATTTTCCAGTGATACATTCAGTAAAAAAAGTTGCGGCGATGTTGGTGAATATGAATGACAATTCATAATAAAGGAGGTGATGTGAAGTAATTTATTTAGTTGTGGGCATCATAATTTGAAAGCATCACGTATAAACTAGAGCATGTTTCTACTCAAATAAGAACATTACACCAGATCAAGAATCACCGCTTTCCCATAACTAAAGGTACTCAAGCAGAGGTGGAATGAATAATTGTCAAAGAGGTGTGAATGGAATTCAAGTATCAATACATAAGTTCTAGGATTCTTTGTAAGATTCAAATTCTAATATTTTCCATTGCTTTGGGCCACTGTAAACCATCTGAAATTTTAATAGAAGGGTTATTTAAATAAATTGCTTGATATATTTCATAGGAAATAAAATTTCAGAAATTTATTGTAGCTCTTTTAAAATTTTAGTGATAATAATACTAATAATGATACATTTCTAAATTGTAGTTTCACAACTACACAAAGATTTTTCTTTCATATTTCTAATACATAAATTTTTAGTAAACTGCACCCATATTTGATTTGTACTATACATGTTTTTAAGTTAATATGTTCTCCTGACAAGTCAGCTGATAGACAACAGAAGGCTTAAAAAACTCTAGTTTTGACAGTCCAGTAGTAGGCATTTCATAAATCATTAGATGAATCACTTGATATTAATACAAAAGATACAGCTATATTTTAATTTTCTTATTTAACAAAATTGTATTTGTGATGTGTGATACATCATTATATGAGAATGATATACTAAAAGACAATTCAAATCTCAAAAATGTATATTTAAATTCACATTTTTTAGAAGTATATCAATGTGCCTATTTTAACTGAAACACAGTTCAGTTTCTGTCTTCCTCCAAACTTGTATCCTGCACTTTACCCGTCAATGTGTTGGGCTTGACGTAATTTAAATGTATTTTCCAAATTCGTATTGGTCTGTAGAAGTAAAGCCTGTCTACAGACGGCTTATGTCACTTATCTTTTACATAAGACCAAGCGGGTACTGGTGAGCTAAAATAAATTAATTGAAGTGTGTATGTGTGCGCATGTGTGTGTTACATGATCTTCAAATCAGTGAAATTTAAAGTTACAGTTATTTAAGAAACATGTAAACATCTAAATTAAACCAGAATATCCTACAAAAGAAAATTCTAAATGAATATGTTGTGATAAAATATTCTAATTAATCAATAAACAACTCTTGATCATTAATATGTGCTCTTAATTTTGAAGTGAATTTGATATAATTTTGCATATTCCATAGTAAATCATTCATCTCTTCTAAAAATAAATACACAAAATGTAGGCCTATAAAAATACATTTTTAATTTTTCTTATTACCTCATTTTATTCCGATTTCATCAGGTGTGACCTTGAATGTTACTAATACTGGAAAAACTATTTATTTTACGTCAACCTATCTAGCCAGCATTAGTTCAGAAGAGTAAATTTCAAGTTACATGTCATTTGTAATTGTGAAATATGCCAAGTAACTCATAATAGTGCTTTAAGAAGGTTAATACCATATATGATTCAAATATTTCTTCTAAACTGACAATTAAAATATTAAGTATTTATAATATGTGTTGGAATGTCTATTAAAAATATATCTCATGATGTTCTAAAATTATATTGAAGTGATGTTTGTACAGCTCTGCATATTTGCTAAAAAACATTAAACCATTGAATTGTATATTTTAAATGAATGAATTATACGGTATGTAAATTACATCCCAATAAAGTGGTTTAACATTTTTCTTACATCTGATACATGATACCAAACTGCTTTTAGTCACCTTGCTGTTTATCATGTCTTGACTTGTGCTTATTTTCTCCCACTTAGATACCTCTACTGCACATTTTTATTATAAATGACCATGCAGGCTTTTTGTGATTATCTTTTTAATATCTGTCATTTCTAATGAAGTATCTTATGGTTTATTTTTATGTTCTTAGTGCTTAGCATGGTGACTGGTACATAATAATACATATTTTTTGAACAAATTAATTGACTCATATGTTAGAAAGATGAAACCAGAAAATATCCATTTTTCTATGATAGTTCTGAAAATGGAAATACAAATATATTATACATATCACCAAAAAAAAAGAAGCCAAATATTAAATACATGGATAGGCTTCAATTTGTATGGATATGCTCATACACATTCCACACTTCAGTATGAAAAAGTTTCAACATATACTTCTTGCCCTAAGCTAATCCCAAAATATGACAGATCAATTTTTTATGTAATGTCTGCTGTTGCTGCAATGACAATCTGAAAACAAGCAAACAAACAAAAGAAAAAAATTGAAATTACATTTGGAACCCTACCAACTTACTTTTAGTTTCTTTTATGAGAAGCCCTCTTTGGTTATATTAATAATTCTATATTATCACTAAAACTTTTAGAAGACAGACAGTAATATATACCTGAAAGTCCAAATCAGAGAAAAATAATTAATGAAGCTATAAAATAAAGCAAATGGGCTAATATTCTGTTGATAGAGTAACCACTGAATAAAAGTTTCTTTTTTTATAATGTGAGATTAAATATTTAATACATGGACTATGCAATACTTGACATGTTGTTGAGAAGTTATGTTTATCATAGTATGTTTCACTGAAACATACCAATATAATTGGCAAACTTTTGTTCTTTTGAAATAATATGCATTTAATTTCAAAATAATTTCTATATTTTAAAAGTTATTACTTTGGGGCCTGGCGCAGTGGTGCATGCCTGTAATCCCAGTACTCTGGGAGGCCGAAGTGGGTGGATCTCCTGAGGTCAGGAGTTTGAGACCAGCCTGACTAACATGGTGAAACCCCGTCTCTACTAAATACAAAAATTTAGCCAGGCTTGGTAGTACATGCCTGTAATCCCAGCTACTTGGGAGGCTGAGGCAAGAGAATCGCTTGAACCTCAAAGGGGAGGTTGCAGTGAGCCGAGATCATGCCATTGCACTTCAGCCTGGGCAACAACTGTGAGGCCCTGTCAAAAAAAAAAAAAAAAAAAAAAGGATTACTTTGGACTAATACAATTTCAAAGAATTTTAAAAATTGTCACTGCCATCGGTTAGATTTGTATATCTCATTTTTGAAAGAAAGAGTCACCTAGATGCCAGACTTTCAGTTGAAGTTCAACCATATCTTAAATAAGAAATGGAAATTGAGGCCAGGCACAGTAGCTCATGCCTGTAATCACAGCATTTTGGGAGGCCGAGACGGGAAGATCACTTGTGCCCAGGAGTTCGAGATCAACCTAGGCAACATAGCCAGACCTCGTCTCTATTAAAAAAAATGAAATGAAAATTGAAACTCAATGCAAGGTGTCTGTAAAACAGTGGAACCCAGTTATATAACTCACTAATAAACATTAAATTATACCACATTTTAAAATGGTATATAAAATGTGGTTCTAAACATTAAAACCTGCTTTTACATCACTATGATTTATGATTCATTATTATAAAACATTACTACTTGCTACTATAGACATATACATACTGCCTACTGTGTTATGGTCATGATGAAGAACTCAGGACCCACAGAGAAGCCTCAACCTAAATGAAACAAAATTATGTTGTCAGAGATCAATTATAAAATTTTAAAAAGACCCAGGTAAAAGAGAATCCACATTACAAACTTTCATTGGAATACCAATTGCTTTACATTCATACGGAAATTAGGTACACTTCAACATGCTTATGTGACATTTGTAATGATATCAGCATAGAAAATCTATTCCTAAGAACTTTTGTTCTAAAAAAAAAAAAAAAAAAAAAAGACATGCCCCTAATATGTCTACTAACCTTTTAGTGTAGCAGTATTTTTTGAAGTTAATTAAAAATGATAAAAACATATTTTTTAACCTAATATTTATTCTATATTATGTTATTACTTAAAATGTCACATTGAATCATTTCCAACAAAAACACAATACAAAACTTATATAACTTTTTCCATTTCATCAGCAGGAAAGAAATTATCAGCCATTACTTTGCTTGGCAGGGGGTCTTCTAACTCTGAATCAGTGGCAAGTGCTAACTGGCAAAAGAGAACACAATTTGCAGTAAACACCTTTCTCCATATAGAAAGTGTTGGGTTGCAAAAATAAAATTCTTTGAACTTTATTGGCTGTTCAACAAATAGCCTTTTCATGGTAACAAATGCTTAGCTTTATATAAGCATTAAACAATATTATTTGTAACACTGAGTATGTGGTTTCACTGGCTTAGTTTCATGATTAGTTTTATTACACGAACAAAAAATAATTTAAACAGTTCAATATTTTAAGCAGTTAAAGTTTTTGTTCAATTACTACTCCCAGTGAACTGCAATAGGACCCAAGGTACAGGTACAATTTTATATTTATTATGCAGTGAAAAAGTGCACCCTGTGTAGAATTACAAGGCTCTAATTTCATTGAAAGTTTCTGTAAGGTCATAAACCAAGAGGCTGAAAAACAGAATGTTTAAAACCCTGATATGAAAAGTTAAAGACTAGTATTAACTCAATATAGTGGGTAATCTAATCTGTATATTATTTCTTTCTTAAATACCCATTTCCCAGTTCCGCATCAAAATTTGTAAGTTATAAGATATTTAGCAAAAGTTTAGTATTTCATTTAACAATCAGTAATTACCAATTTTAAAACTTATGCCAGTAGGAAATTAACTATTTTCTTGCCCTAGAAATAAGATAAATTTAATTAAAATTAATGATAGTGAAAACATTTATTAAAATGCACATATAATTTAGAACAATTTAATCAAGATCTACCTTTTGCAAAATGTCAGGCAATCATTGCTGCAATAAATTTCAAAGTACTCCAAGGTAATAAGAACGTCTCTATCCAGAGCTATAAACTCTCCTGTGTAGCTTGGGATATTTCACAAGCAACGGGATCTAATAAGGAAATCTTGTTCTCATTTCCTATTAGCTGGGTCTCAGCTTGAGCCTACCTATGCAAGCTGACCCAATTCATTAAATTTTTTTTTTTTTTTTTTTTTAACCAAAGACAGAGAACTTTGGTGTTGGGAAACCTTCATTTGTGAAAAATAATATCCCAGGAAACATTGAACATTCAGAATATGGCATAATAAAAAATCTTTTTTTTTTTTTAAGACGGAGTTTCTCTCTTGTTGCCTTGGCTGGAGTGCAATGCTGCGATCTCGGCTCACTGCAACCTCCACCTCCCGGGTTCAAGAGATTCTCCTGCCTCAGCCTCACGAGTAGATGGGATTATAGGCACTCGCCACTACGCTAGGCTACTTTTTGTATTTTTAGTAGAGATGGGGTTTCACCATGCTGGCCAGGTTGGTCCCGAACTCCTGGCCTCAGGTGATCCGACCACCTTGGCCCCCCAAAGTGCTGGTATTACAGGCGTGAGCTGCCGCACCCGACCTGCCACAGTAAAATTCACACTAGGTTTGTATCCTAGTCCAAGCTTCCCATAGATTTGCATAGGTGTTGTAAGGATACGGAAGCTATAAATAAAAGGTTCAAGAACTATTTTCAAACAAAAATTAGTGTGAGAGACTGAGAATCTTAAGACAACTGCAGTAGGAGTTGTAGCTTCCTGAATGATGAATAATGCAGTGTGGCTTTGACATCAGGATCTCACAGCACAGCATTATTAGGGCACACACTACAGCTTATTTCCTGAGCCTGTGGTGGGTAGCCTTGGTATCTTCATTAGTACCCACTCTGAAGCAGTAGCAAACGTTGGCACTTAGGGCAACTGCATAGAAAGCAATGGAAGGCTGGCTCTACGGTGAGAACAGCAAGCAAAAGCATTAGCCCCTCATCCAGAGTGAGTGGACAGCAGTGGCACAGCTGATGAAAGCCAACTTTAAATGTGTAATTTGAAATGCCCCCGGGGGACACTTAAAAAAAAAAAGTGAAAGAAATCTTAAGGGATCAAAGGTTCTTTAGAAGCAGAGAGGGGCAAATATTGGGGAAAATTTATTTATTACTTATGATATACCACACCATTTCAATTGAAAGCTTATACAGTCTTGGAAAACAGACCACAGTTATTAATACTATCATGTGAGCAGGTGAGGAGGTTCATTCCTGTAATCCTAACCCACTTTAGGAGTTCCAGGTTTGGGGAGGACCATTTGAGTCCAGGAGTTTGAGACCAGCCTGCAATAGAGTGAGGCCCCGTTTCTACAAAAAATAAAAAACAAAAATTAGCCAGGCGTGATATCTCACACCTGTAGTCCCAGCTACTTGGGAGACTGATGTGGGAGAACATCTTGAGCCCAGGAGTCAGAGGCTGCAGTGAGCTATGATTACACCACTGCCTTTTTACCTGGATGACAGATCAAGACCCTGTCTCTAAAAATAAAAAAAAAATAAAACTGCCATGGCTAAATAAAAATACAGGGTATCTTTACTGTTATTTCCACTACGTTTGTCAAACAGACTGCTGACTCTTAAGTTTCTGTAACTGCTAAGACTACATGCTTACTCTGTATCGGACACTCTTCTAAGCACTGTACATATTTTAATTATTTGAATCTCACAATGATCTCCTGAAGCAGGTAATATAATAATCCTATTATATTGGCTAGGAAACTGAGCAACAGCAAAGGTAAGTAACTTACCTAAGGCCATGTGATGAGTAAGTAGCAGAGAGTAGATTCAAATTCAGGTATCCTGGCTCCAGAACCCATGTTCTAACTTCCTTTTTCTTTAGAAGAAATTATTCTAAAATAAAATCCTTAATGTTCAAACCGCAAAATTTATACCTGATTTTTTCAAGTGCTTCAGAAAATACATACTCTCTTGTACATGGCTTAATAGTTCATCAATTGTGAAAGAAAAATAAGCATAAAAGTAAATTAAATGATGTCGTAAGTTTACTGTTGAAAGTCAGTTTGCAGTCTTTGAAATATTGTGACAAAATTTGAATTAAAAGAAAGAGTGATGGATGTTTCACTATATTATTTTACTGTGTTAACTTTCCTTGTGTAACTAGATCAACAGGATAGATCTTTATTAGATCATGGCAAAAAGATCTGTGCATGTGACTAATGGAGACAATCTAAAAGATGATAATATATTCATTCCAATACATTTGATGCTTTTGGTGTTAGCCAACAGTCCAAATGCACTCCACTTCTACAACAATTTGGAATGGAGAAAGGCCTGCCTTTGTGCTTTTAGGATTTAGGAAGAAAAAGGGAAAGAAAAGCAACCATCTATATACCACATGACTGAAATAGTTATTTTTAGTAATGGTTCAGGGAAGAGTAC